>NC_000015.10:18341858-18355008 GCF_000001405.40 Homo sapiens | reverse complement strand
TCTGTGTAGAATTGATTTGAAGATAATTCCTTTTCCACCACAGTCCGCAAAGGGCTAAAAATATCCACTTGCCGATTCCACAAAAAGAGAGATTCAAAACTGCTCAATCACAAGATAGGTTCAACTTGGTAATTGGAAAGCACACATGACAAACAATTTCTGAGAATGTTTCTGTGTAGTTTTTAAGGGAAGATATTTGATTTTCAAATGTAGGCCTCAAATCGCTCCAAATATCCACTTGCATATTGTACAAAAAGAGAGATTCAAAACTGGTCACTCAAAAGTTAGGTCCAGCTCTGTGAGCTGAATGCACACATCACAAAGATGTTTCTCAGAAGGTTTCTGTATAGTTTTTATATGAAGATATTGGCTTTTCCACAATATGCCTCAAATCTCCCCAATTATCCACTTGCAGATTCTAGAAAAAGAGTGTTTCAAAACAGCTCAATCAAAATAAACTTTCAACTCTGTGAGATCAATGCACACATCACAAAGAAGTTTCTCAGAATGCTTCTGTGTAGTTTTTTTTGTGAAGATATTTGATTTTCCACAGCAGGCTTCCAAGCACTCCAAATATCCACTCGCAGATTCTGCAAAAAGAGAGATTCAAATCTGCTGAATCAAAAGATAGGTTTAACTCTGTGACTTCAATGCACACCTCACAAGGGTGTTTCTCAGAAAGCTTCTGTGTAGTTTTTATATGAAGATATCTCCTTCTCCAAAGCAGGTCTCAAAGCCCTCCAAATATTCACTTCAAGATTCTACGGAAAGATTGTCTCAACACTGCTAAATCTAAACAAATGTTCAACTCTGTGTGATGAATGCACTCATCACAGAGAAGTTTCTCTGAATGCCTCTGTGTAGTTTTTATTTGAAGATATTTGCTTTTCCAGTATAGGGCGAAATAGGGCTCCAAATATTCACTTGCAGATTCTACAAAAGGAGAGATTCCAAACTGCTCAATCAAAACATAGGTTCAACACTGTGAGTTGAATGCACACATCACAAAGAAGTTTCACAGAGTGCTTCTGGGTAGTTTTTATTTGAGGATATTTCCCTTTCCACAATAGGCCTCAAAGCTTTCCAAATATCCACTTGCAGATTCTGCAAAAAGAGAGATACAAAACTGCTCTATCAAAAGATAGATTCGACTCTGTGAGTTGAATGCCAACATCGCAAAGAAGTTTCTCAGAATGCTTCTCTGCAGCTTTTTTGTGAGTATGTTTCGTTTTCCACCATAGGGCGAAATGGGGCTCCAAATATCCACTTGCATTTCCTACAAAAAGAGAGATTCTAAGCTGCTCAATCAAAACATTGTTTCAACACGGTTAGTTGAATGCACACATCCCAAAGATGTTTTTCAGAGTGCTTCTGTGTGGTTTTTATGTGAAGATACTTCCTTTTCCACAATAGGCCTCAAATCTCTGTAAATATCCACTTGCAGACTCCACAAAGAGTGTTTCCAAACTGCTCAATCATAAGATAGGTTCAACTCCGATAGTTGAATGCACATATCACAAAGAAGTTTCTCAGAAAGCTTTCTGTGTAGTTTTTGATGAAGATATCTTCTTCTCTAAAACAGAACTCCAAGCCCTCCAAATATTCACTTCAAGATTCTACGGAAAGATTGTCTCAAACTGCTAAATCAAAACAAAGGTTCAACTCTGTGTGATGAATGCATTCATCACAAAGAAGTTTCTCTGAGTGCTTCTGTGCAGTTTTTATTTGAAGATAATTGCTTTTCCAGTATAGGGCGAAATAGGGCTCCAAATATTCACTTGCAGATTCTACAGAAAGAGAGATTCCAAACTGCTCAATCAAAACATAGGTTCAACACTGTGAGTTGAATGCATACATCGCAAAGAAGTTTCACAGAGTACTTCTGGGTGGTTTTTATTTGAAGATATTTCCCTTTCCACAATAGGCCTCAAAGCTTTCCAAATGTCCACTTGCAGATTCCACCAAAAGAGTGTTTCGAAACTGCTCAATCAAAAGAAAGGTTCTACTCTGTGGGATGAATGCACACATCACAAAGTAGTTTCTCAGAATGCTTCTGTGTAGTTTTTATGTGAAGATATTTGTTTTTCCACAGTAGGCCCCAAAGAGCTCCAAATATTCACTTGCAGATTCTACAAAAAGAGTGTTCCAAAACTGCTCAATCATGAAATAGGATCAACCCTGTGAGATGAATGTACGTATGACAGAGAAGTTTCTCAGAATGCTTCTGTGTAGTTTTTATGCGAAGATATTCGATTTTCCACAGTACGCCTCAAAGTTCTCCAATTATCCACTCGTAGATTCTGCAAAAAGAGAGATTCAAAACTGCTCAATCAAAAGATAGTTTCTACTCCATTAGCTGAAAGACCACATCACAAAAAAAGTTTCTCAGGATGCTTCTGTGTAGTTTTTATGTGAAGATATTTGGTTTTCCACAGTAGGCCACAAAGCACTCCAAATATCCACTCACAGATTCTGCAAAAAGAGAGATTCAAAATTGCTGAATCAAAAGATAGTTTGAACTCTGTGACTTCAGTGCACACCTCACAAAGATGTTTCTCAGAATGCTTCTGTGTAGTTTTCATATAAAGATATCTCCTTCTCCAAAATGGATCTCAAAGTTCTCCAAATATTCACTTCCAGATTCTATGGAAAGATTGTCTCAAAACTGCTCAATCAAACCAAAGGTTCAACTCTGTGAGATGAATGCCCACATCACAAAGAAGTTTCTCAGAGTACTTCTGTGTAGTTTCTATTTGAGGATAGTTCCTTTTCCACCACAGACCAGAAAGGGCTCCAAATATCCATTGCAGATGGTACAAAAAGTGAGATTCAAAACTGCTCAATCCAAAGGTAGTTTCAACCATGTGATATGAATGCACACAGCACAGAGAATTTTCTCAAAATGCGTCTGTCTAGTTTTTATTTGAAGATATTTCCTTTTCTACCATAGGCCACAAACGTCTCCAAATATCCACATGCAGCTTCTACAAAAAGAGAGATTCAAAACTTCTCAATCAAAAGATAGGTTCAACTCTGTGAGTTGAAAGCACACCTCACAGAGAAGTTTCTCAGAGTGCTTCTGTGTGTTTTTATGTGAAGATATTTCCTTTTCCACAATAGGCCTCAAAGCTCTCCAAATATCTGCGAGCAGAGTCTACAAAATGAGAGATTCAAAACTGCTCAATGAAAAGATAGGTTCAACTCTGTGAGTTGAATGCACACCTCCAAAGAAGTTTCTCAGAATGCTTCCGTGTAGTTTTTATGTGAAGATATTTACTTTTCCACAGTTGTCCCAAAGCTCTAAAATGTCCACTTGCAGACCCTCCAAAAGAGTGTTTCAGAATTGCTCAATCAAAGGGAAGGTTCAATTCTGTGTGACCAATGCACTCATCACAAAGAAGTTTGTCTGAATGCTTCTGTGTAGAATTGATTTCAAGATAATTCCTTTTCCACCACAGTCTACAAAGGACTAAAAATATCCACTTGCAGATTCTACAAAAAGAGAGATTCAAAACTGCTCAATCACAAGATAGGTTCAACTCGGTGATTAGGAAGCACACATGACAAACAATTTCTGAGAATGCTTTCTGTGTAGTTTTTAAGGGAAGATATTTGATTTTCAAATGTAGGCCTCAAATCGCTCCAAATATCCACTTGCATATTGTACAAAAAGAGAGATTCAAAACTGGTCACTCAAAAGTTAGGTCCAGCTCTGTGAGCTGAATGCACACATCACAAAGATGTTTCTCAGAAGGTTTCTGTATAGTTTCTATATGAAGATATTGGCTTTTCCACAATATGCCTCAAATCTCCCCAATTATCCACTTGCAGATTCTAGAAAAAGAGTGTTTCAAAACAGCTCAATCAAAATAAACTTTCAACTCTGTGAGATCAATGCACACATCACAAAGAAGTTTCTCAGAATGCTTCTGTGTAGTTTTTTTTGTGAAGATATTTGATTTTCCACAGCAGGCTTCCAAGCACTCCAAATATCCACTCGCAGATTCTGCAAAAAGAGAGATTCAAATCTGCTGAATCAAAAGATAGGTTTAACTCTGTGACTTCAATGCACACCTCACAAGGGTGTTTCTCAGAAAGCTTCTGTGTAGTTTTTATATGAAGATATCTCCTTCTCCAAAGCAGGTCTCAAAGCCCTCCAAATATTCACTTCAAGATTCTACGGAAAGATTGTCTCAACACTGCTAAATCTAAACAAATGTTCAACTCTGTGTGATGAATGCACTCATCACAGAGAAGTTTCTCTGAATGCCTCTGTGTAGTTTTTATTTGAAGATATTTGCTTTTCCAGTATAGGGCGAAATAGGGCTCCAAATATTCACTTGCAGATTCTACAAAAGGAGAGATTCCAAACTGCTCAATCAAAACATAGGTTCAACACTGTGAGTTGAATGCACACATCACAAAGAAGTTTCACAGAGTGCTTCTGGGTAGTTTTTATTTGAGGATATTTCCCTTTCCACAATAGGCCTCAAAGCTTTCCAAATATCCACTTGCAGATTCTGCAAAAAGAGAGATACAAAACTGCTCTATCAAAAGATAGATTCGACTCTGTGAGTTGAATGCCAACATCGCAAAGAAGTTTCTCAGAATGCTTCTCTGCAGCTTTTTTGTGAGTATGTTTCGTTTTCCACCATAGGGCGAAATGGGGCTCCAAATATCCACTTGCATTTCCTACAAAAAGAGAGATTCTAAGCTGCTCAATCAAAACATTGTTTCAACACGGTTAGTTGAATGCACACATCCCAAAGATGTTTTTCAGAGTGCTTCTGTGTGGTTTTTATGTGAAGATACTTCCTTTTCCACAATAGGCCTCAAATCTCTGTAAATATCCACTTGCAGACTCTACAAAGAGTGTTTCCAAACTCCTCAATCATAAGATAGGTTCAACTCCGATAGTTGAATGCACACATCACAAAGAAGTTTCTCGGAAAGCTTCTGTGTAGTTTTTGATGAAGATATCTTCTTCTCTAAAACAGAACTCCAAGCCCTCCAAATATTCACTTCAAGATTCTACGGAAAGATTGTCTCAAACTGCTAAATCAAAACAAAGGTTCAACTCTGTGTGATGAATGCATTCATCACAAAGAAGTTTCTCTGAGTGCTTCTGTGCAGTTTTTATTTGAAGATAATTGCTTTTCCAGTATAGGGCGAAATAGGGCTCCAAATATTCACTTGCAGATTCTACAGAAAGAGAGATTCCAAACTGCTCAATCAAAACATAGGTTCAACACTGTGAGTTGAATGCATACATCGCAAAGAAGTTTCACAGAGTACTTCTGGGTGGTTTTTATTTGAAGATATTTCCCTTTCCACAATAGGCCTCAAAGCTTTCCAAATGTCCACTTGCAGATTCCACCAAAAGCGTGTTTCGAAACTGCTCAATCAAAAGAAAGGTTCTACTCTGTGGGATGAATGCACACATCACAAAGTAGTTTCTCAGAATGCTTCTGTGTAGTTTTTATGTGAAGATATTTGTTTTTCCACAGTAGGCCCCAAAGAGCTCCAAATATTCACTTGCAGATTCTACAAAAAGAGTGTTCCAAAACTGCTCAATCATGAAATAGGATCAACCCTGTGAGATGAATGTACGTATGACAGAGAAGTTTCTCAGAATGCTTCTGTGTAGTTTTTATGCGAAGATATTCGATTTTCCACAGTACGCCTCAAAGTTCTCCAATTATCCACTCGTAGATTCTGCAAAAAGAGAGATTCAAAACTGCTCAATCAAAAGATAGTTTCTACTCCATTAGCTGAAAGACCACATCACAAAAAAAGTTTCTCAGGATGCTTCTGTGTAGTTTTTATGTGAAGATATTTGGTTTTCCACAGTAGGCCTCAAAGCGCTCCAAATATCCACTCACAGATTCTGCAAAAAGAGAGATTCAAAACTGCTGAATCAAAAGACAGTTTCAACTCTGTGACTTCAGTGCACACCTCACAAGGATGTTTCTCAGAATGCTTCTGTGTAGTTTTTATATAAAGATATCTCCTTCTCCAAAATGGATCTCAAAGTTCTCCAAATATTCACTTCCAGATTCTATGGAAAGATTGTCTCAAAACTGCTCAATCAAACCAAAGGTTCAACTCTGTGAGATGAATGCCCACATCACAAAGAAGTTTCTCAGAGTACTTCTGTGTAGTTTCTATTTGAGGATAGTTCCTTTTCCACCACAGACCAGAAAGGGCTCCAAATATCCATTGCAGATGGTACAAAAAGTGAGATTCAAAACTGCTCAATCCAAAGGTAGTTTCAACCATGTGATATGAATGCACACAGCACAGAGAATTTTCTCAAAATGCGTCTGTCTAGTTTTTATTTGAAGATATTTCCTTTTCTACCATAGGCCACAAACGTCTCCAAATATCCACATGCAGCTTCTACAAAAAGAGAGATTCAAAACTTCTCAATCAAAAGATAGGTTCAACTGCTGTGAGTTGAAAGCACACCTCACAAAGAAGTTTCTCAGAGTGCTTCTGTGTGTTTTTATGTGAAGATATTTCCTTTTCCACAATAGGCCTCAAAGCTCTCCAAATATCTGCGAGCAGAGTCTACAAAATGAGAGATTCAAAACTGCTCAATGAAAAGATAGGTTCAACTCTGTGAGTTGAATGCACACCTCCAAAGAAGTTTCTCAGAATGCTTCCGTGTAGTTTTTATGTGAAGATATTTACTTTTCCACAGTTGTCCCAAAGCTCTAAAATATCCACTTGCAGACCCTCCAAAAGAGTGTTTCAGAATTGCTCAATCAAAGGGAAGGTTCAATTCTGTGTGACCAATGCACTCATCACAAAGAAGTTTGTCTGAATGCTTCTGTGTAGAATTGATTTGAAGATAATTCCTTTTCCACCACAGTCCGCAAAGGGCTAAAAATATCCACTTGCCGATTCCACAAAAAGAGAGATTCAAAACTGCTCAATCACAAGATAGGTTCAACTTGGTAATTGGAAAGCACACATGACAAACAATTTCTGAGAATGTTTCTGTGTAGTTTTTAAGGGAAGATATTTGATTTTCAAATGTAGGCCTCAAATCGCTCCAAATATCCACTTGCATATTGTACAAAAAGAGAGATTCAAAACTGGTCACTCAAAAGTTAGGTCCAGCTCTGTGAGCTGAATGCACACATCACAAAGATGTTTCTCAGAAGGTTTCTGTATAGTTTCTATATGAAGATATTTGCTTTTCCACAATATGCCTCAAATCTCCCCAATTATCCACTTGCAGATTCTAGAAAAAGAGTGTTTCAAAACAGCTCAATCAAAATAAACTTTCAACTCTGTGAGATCAATGCACACATCACAAAGAAGTTTCTCAGAATGCTTCTGTGTAGTTTTTTTTGTGAAGATATTTGATTTTCCACAGCAGGCTTCCAAGCACTCCAAATATCCACTCGCAGATTCTGCAAAAAGAGAGATTCAAATCTGCTGAATCAAAAGATAGGTTTAACTCTGTGACTTCAATGCACACCTCACAAGGGTGTTTCTCAGAAAGCTTCTGTGTAGTTTTTATATGAAGATATCTCCTTCTCCAAAGCAGGTCTCAAAGCCCTCCAAATATTCACTTCAAGATTCTACGGAAAGATTGTCTCAACACTGCTAAATCTAAACAAATGTTCAACTCTGTGTGATGAATGCACTCATCACAGAGAAGTTTCTCTGAATGCCTCTGTGTAGTTTTTATTTGAAGATATTTGCTTTTCCAGTATAGGGCGAAATAGGGCTCCAAATATTCACTTGCAGATTCTACAAAAGGAGAGATTCCAAACTGCTCAATCAAAACATAGGTTCAACACTGTGAGTTGAATGCACACATCACAAAGAAGTTTCACAGAGTGCTTCTGGGTAGTTTTTATTTGAGGATATTTCCCTTTCCACAATAGGCCTCAAAGCTTTCCAAATATCCACTTGCAGATTCTGCAAAAAGAGAGATACAAAACTGCTCTATCAAAAGATAGATTCGACTCTGTGAGTTGAATGCCAACATCGCAAAGAAGTTTCTCAGAATGCTTCTCTGCAGCTTTTTTGTGAGTATGTTTCGTTTTCCACCATAGGGCGAAATGGGGCTCCAAATATCCACTTGCATTTCCTACAAAAAGAGAGATTCTAAGCTGCTCAATCAAAACATTGTTTCAACACGGTTAGTTGAATGCACACATCCCAAAGATGTTTTTCAGAGTGCTTCTGTGTGGTTTTTATGTGAAGATACTTCCTTTTCCACAATAGGCCTCAAATCTCTGTAAATATCCACTTGCAGACTCTACAAAGAGTGTTTCCAAACTGCTCAATCATAAGATAGGTTCAACTCCGATAGTTGAATGCACACATCACAAAGAAGTTTCTCAGAAAGCTTCTGTGTAGTTTTTGATGAAGATATCTTCTTCTCTAAAACAGAACTCCAAGCCCTCCAAATATTCACTTCAAGATTCTACGGAAAGATTGTCTCAAACTGCTAAATCAAAACAAAGGTTCAACTCTGTGTGATGAATGCATTCATCACAAAGAAGTTTCTCTGAGTGCTTCTGTGCAGTTTTTATTTGAAGATAATTGCTTTTCCAGTATAGGGCGAAATAGGGCTCCAAATATTCACTTGCAGATTCTACAGAAAGAGAGATTCCAAACTGCTCAATCAAAACATAGGTTCAACACTGTGAGTTGAATGCATACATCGCAAAGAAGTTTCACAGAGTACTTCTGGGTGGTTTTTATTTGAAGATATTTCCCTTTCCACAATAGGCCTCAAAGCTTTCCAAATGTCCACTTGCAGATTCCACCAAAAGAGTGTTTCGAAACTGCTCAATCAAAAGAAAGGTTCTACTCTGTGGGATGAATGCACACATCACAAAGTAGTTTCTCAGAATGCTTCTGTGTAGTTTTTATGTGAAGATATTTGTTTTTCCACAGTAGGCCCCAAGGAGCTCCAAATATTCACTTGCAGATTCTACAAAAAGAGTGTTCCGAAACTGCTCAATCATGAAATAGGATCAACCCTGTGAGATGAATGTACGTATGACAGAGAAGTTTCTCAGAATGCTTCTGTGTAGTTTTTATGCGAAGATATTCGATTTTCCACAGTACGCCTCAAAGTTCTCCAATTATCCACTCGTAGATTCTGCAAAAAGAGAGATTCAAAACTGCTCAATCAAAAGATAGTTTCTACTCCATTAGCTGAAAGACCACATCACAAAAAAAGTTTCTCAGGATGCTTCTGTGTAGTTTTTATGTGAACATATTTGGTTTTCCACAGTAGGCCTCAAAGCGCTCCAAATATCCGCTCACAGACTCTGCAAAAAGAGAGATTCAAAACTGCTGAATCAAAAGACAGTTTCAACTCTGTGACTTCAGTGCACACCTCACAAGGATGTTTCTCAGAATGCTTCTGTGTAGTTTTTATATAAAGATATCTCCTTCTCCAAAATGGATCTCAAAGTTCTCCAAATATTCACTTCCAGATTCTATGGAAAGATTGTCTCAAAACTGCTCAATCAAACCAAAGGTTCAACTCTGTGAGATGAATGCCCACATCACAAAGAAGTTTCTCAGAGTACTTCTGTGTAGTTTCTATTTGAGGATAGTTCCTTTTCCACCACAGACCAGAAAGGGCTCCAAATATCCATTGCAGATGGTACAAAAAGTGAGATTCAAAACTGCTCAATCCAAAGGTAGTTTCAACCATGTGATATGAATGCACACAGCACAGAGAATTTTCTCAAAATGCGTTCTGTCTAGTTTTTATTTGAAGATATTTCCTTTTCTACCACAGGCCACAAACGTCTCCAAATATCCACATGCAGCTTCTACAAAAAGAGAGATTCAAAACTTCTCAATCAAAAGATAGGTTCAACTCTGTGAGTTGAAAGCACACCTCACAAAGAAGTTTCTCAGAGTGCTTCTGTGTGTTTTTATGTGAAGATATTTCCTTTTCCACAATAGGCCTCAAAGCTCTCCAAATATCTGCGAGCAGAGTCTACAAAATGAGAGATTCAAAACTGCTCAATGAAAAGATAGGTTCAACTCTGTGAGTTGAATGCACACCTCCAAAGAAGTTTCTCAGAATGCTTCCGTGTAGTTTTTATGTGAAGATATTTACTTTTCCACAGTTGTCCCAAAGCTCTAAAATGTCCACTTGCAGACCCTCCAAAAGAGTGTTTCAGAATTGCTCAATCAAAGGGAAGGTTCAATTCTGTGTGACCAATGCACTCATCACAAAGAAGTTTGTCTGAATGCTTCTGTGTAGAATTGATTTGAAGATAATTCCTTTTCCACCACAGTCCGCAAAGGGCTAAAAATATCCACTTGCCGATTCCACAAAAAGAGAGATTCAAAACTGCTCAATCACAAGATAGGTTCAACTTGGTAATTGGAAAGCACACATGACAAACAATTTCTGAGAATGTTTCTGTGTAGTTTTTAAGGGAAGATATTTGATTTTCAAATGTAGGCCTCAAATCGCTCCAAATATCCACTTGCATATTGTACAAAAAAAGAGATTCAAAACTGGTCACTCAAAAGTTAGGTCCAGCTCTGTGAGCTGAATGCACACATCACAAAGATGTTTCTCAGAAGGTTTCTGTATAGTTTTTATATGAAGATATTGGCTTTTCCACAATATGCCTCAAATCTCCCCAATTATCCACTTGCAGATTCTAGAAAAAGAGTGTTTCAAAACAGCTCAATCAAAATAAACTTTCAACTCTGTGAGATCAATGCACACATCACAAAGAAGTTTCTCAGAATGCTTCTGTGTAGTTTTTTTTGTGAAGATATTTGATTTTCCACAGCAGGCTTCCAAGCACTCCAAATATCCACTCGCAGATTCTGCAAAAAGAGAGATTCAAATCTGCTGAATCAAAAGATAGGTTTAACTCTGTGACTTCAATGCACACCTCACAAGGGTGTTTCTCAGAAAGCTTCTGTGTAGTTTTTATATGAAGATATCTCCTTCTCCAAAGCAGGTCTCAAAGCCCTCCAAATATTCACTTCAAGATTCTACGGAAAGATTGTCTCAACACTGCTAAATCTAAACAAATGTTCAACTCTGTGTGATGAATGCACTCATCACAGAGAAGTTTCTCTGAATGCCTCTGTGTAGTTTTTATTTGAAGATATTTGCTTTTCCAGTATAGGGCGAAATAGGGCTCCAAATATTCACTTGCAGATTCTACAAAAGGAGAGATTCCAAACTGCTCAATCAAAACATAGGTTCAACACTGTGAGTTGAATGCACACATCACAAAGAAGTTTCACAGAGTGCTTCTGGGTAGTTTTTATTTGAGGATATTTCCCTTTCCACAATAGGCCTCAAAGCTTTCCAAATATCCACTTGCAGATTCTGCAAAAAGAGAGATACAAAACTGCTCTATCAAAAGATAGATTCGACTCTGTGAGTTGAATGCCAACATCGCAAAGAAGTTTCTCAGAATGCTTCTCTGCAGCTTTTTTGTGAGTATGTTTCGTTTTCCACCATAGGGCGAAATGGGGCTCCAAATATCCACTTGCATTTCCTACAAAAAGAGAGATTCTAAGCTGCTCAATCAAAACATTGTTTCAACACGGTTAGTTGAATGCACACATCCCAAAGATGTTTTTCAGAGTGCTTCTGTGTGGTTTTTATGTGAAGATACTTCCTTTTCCACAACAGGCCTCAAATCTCTGTAAATATCCACTTGCAGACTCTACAAAGAGTGTTTCCAAACTGCTCAATCATAAGATAGGTTCAACTCCGATAGTTGAATGCACACATCACAAAGAAGTTTCTAAGAAAGCTTCTGTGTAGTTTTTGATGAAGATATCTTCTTCTCTAAAACAGAACTCCAAGCCCTCCAAATATTCACTTCAAGATTCTACGGAAGGATGGTCTCAAAACTCCTAAATCAAAACAAAGGTTCAACTCTGTGTGATGAATGCATTCATCACAAAGAAGTTTCTCTGAGTGCTTCTGTGCAGTTTTTATTTGAAGATAATTGCTTTTCCAGTATAGGGCGAAATAGGGCTCCAAATATTCACTTGCAGATTCTACAGAAAGAGAGATTCCAAACTGCTCAATCAAAACATAGGTTCAACACTGTGAGTTGAATGCACACATCGCAAAGAAGTTTCACAGAGTGCTTCTGGGTGGTTTTTATTTGAAGATATTTCCCTTTCCACAATAGTCCTCGAAGCTTTCCAAATATCCACTTGCAGATTCTACAAAAAGAGTGTTTCAAAACTGCTCAATCAAAAGAAAGGTTCTACTCTGTGGGATGAATGCACACATCACAAAGTAGTTTCTCAGAATGCTTCTGTGTAGTTTTTATGTGAAGATATTTGTTTTTCCACAGTAGGCCCCAATGAGCTCCAAATATTCACTTGCAGATTCTCCAAAGGTGTGTTTCAAAACTGCTCAATCGTAAAATAGGATCAATCCTGTGAGATGAATGTACGTATGACAGAGAAGTTTCTCAGAATGCTTCTGTGTAGTTTTTATGCGAAGATATTCGATTTTCCACAGTACTCCTCAAAATTCTCCAATTATCCACTTGTAGATTCTGCAAAAGAGAGATTCAAAACGGCTCAATCAAAAGATAAGTTCAACTCCATTAGTTGAAAGACCACATCACAAAAAAAGTTTCTCAGGATGCTTCTGTGTAGTTTATATGTGAAGATATTTGATTTTCCACAGTATGCCTCAAAGCGCTCCAAATATCCACTCACAGATTCTGCAAAGGAGAGATTTAAAACTGCTGAATCAAAAGACAGTTTCAACTCTGTGACTTCAGTGCACACCTCACAAGGATGTTTCTCAGAATGCTTCTGTGTAGTTTTTATATAAAGATATCTCCTTCTCCAAAGTGGATCTCAAAGTTCTCCAAATATTCACTTCCAGATTCTATGGAAAGATTGTCTCAAAACTGCTCAATCAAACCAAAGGTTCAACTCTGTGAGATGAATGCACACATCACAAAGAAGTTTCTCAGAGTACTTCTGTGTAGTTTCTATTTGAGGATAGTTCCTTTTCCACCACAGACCACAAAGGGCTCCAAATATCCATTGCAGATGGTACAAAAAGATAGATTCAAAACTGCTCAATCCAAAGGTAGTTTCAAACATGTGTTATGAATGCACACAGCACAGAGAATTTTCTCAAAATGCG
>NC_000015.10:17383673-17498951 GCF_000001405.40 Homo sapiens | reverse complement strand
TCTGTATAGTTTTTATATGAAGATATTTGCTTTTCCACAACATACCTCAAATCTCTCCAATTATCCACTTGCAGATTCTACAGAAGGAGTGTTTTAAAACTGCTCAATCAAAATACACTTTCAACTCTGTGAGATCAATGCACACATCACAAAGAAGTTTCTCAGAATGCTTCTGTATAGTTTTTATCTGAAGTTATTTGCTTTTCCACGATAGGCCTCAAAGCACGCCAAATATCCACTTGCAGATCCTATGAAAAGAGTGTTCCAAAACTGGTCAATCATAAGATAGGTTTAACTCTGTGAGTTGAATGCACAATCACGAGGAAGTTTCTCAGAATGCCTCTGTGTGCTTTTCATTTGAAGGTATTTCCTTTTCCACCATAGGCCGCAAAGGGCTCCAAATATCCCCTTACAGATTCTGCAAAATGAGAGATTCAAAACTGCTCAATCAAAAGATAGGTTCAACTCTGTGAGTTGAATGCTCACATAACAAAGAAGTTTCTCACAGTATTTCTGTGTAGTTTTTATTTGAAGATATTTCCTTTTCCACCATAGGCCGCAAAGGGCTCCAAATATCCACTTGCAGATTGTATAAAAAGAGAGATTCAAAACTGGTCACTCAAAGGATCGGTTCAGCTCTGTGAGGTGAATGCACACATCAAAAAGAAGTTTCTTAGAGTGCCTCTATGTAGATTTTATGTGAAGATATTTGCTTTTCCACTTTAGGTCTCAAAGCGCTCCAAATATCCACGTGCAGATTCTAAAAAAAGAGAGATTCTAAGCTACTCCATCAAAAGATAGGTTCAGCTCTGTGAGTTGAATTCACACATCACAAAGAAGTTTCTAGGAGTGCTTCTGTGTAGTTGTTATGTGAAGATATTTGCTTTTCCACAGTAGGCCTCAAATCGCTCTACATATCCACTTGCAGTTTCTACAAAAAAGAGTGTTTCCAAACTGCTCCATCATAAGACACGTTGAACTCTGAGAGTTGAATGCACACATCACAAAGAAGCTTCTCAGAATGCTTCTGTGTGGTTTTAATTTGAAGATATTTCCTTTTCCAAAACAGACCTCAAAGCTCTCCGAATATCCACCTGGTTATTCTGCAAAAAGAGGGTTTCAATACTACTCAATAAAAAGGAAGATTCAACTCTGTGTGAGGAACGCATTCATCACAAAGAAGTCTTTCTGAATGCTTCTGTGTAGCTTTTATATGAAGATATTTCCTTTTACACCACAGGGTGCAAACAGCTCCAAACTTCCACTTGCAGATTCTACAAAAAGACGTATTCAAAACTGTACAATCAAAAGATAGTGTCAACTCTGCATGTTCAATGCACACATCACAAAGGACTTTCTCTGAATGCTTCTCTGTAGGGTTTGTTTATGTGAAGACATTTGCTTTTCCACTATAGGGTGAAACAGGGCTCCAAGTATCAACTTGCAGATTCTGCAAAAAGGAGATTCAAAACAGCTAAATCCAAAGATTACTTCAACTATGTGAGTTGAATGCACACACAAAAAAGAAGTTTCTCAGAATGCCTCTGTGTAGTTTTTATGTGAAGATATTTGATTTTCCACATTAGGCCTCAAAGCGCTCCAAATATCCACTTGCAGATTCTAGAAAAAGAGTGTTTCAAAACTGCCCTATCAAAAGAAACGTCCAACACTGTGAGATGAATGCACACATCACAAAGAAGTTTCTCAGAATGCTTCTTTGTAGTTTTTATGTGAAGATATTCCCTTTTCCAAAGAAGGCCACAAAGTACTCCCAATATCCACTTGCAGGTTCTACAAAATGAGTGTTTCAAAACCGCTCAATCATTAGATAGGTTCAACTCTGTGAGACGAATGCACACGTCACAAAGAAGTTTTACGGAATGCTTCTATATAGTTTTTATTTGAAGGTATTTCCTTTTCCACCCTAGGTTGCCAAGGGCTCCAAATATCCACTTGCAGATTCGACAAAAAGAGACATTCAAAACTGCTCAATGATAAGTCCAACTCTGTGGGTTGAATCCATGCCTCACAAAGAAGTTTCTCAGAATGCTTCTCTGTAGTTTCTATGTGAAGATATTTCCTTTTTCACAATAGGCCTCAAGCTTTCCAAATATCCACTTGCAGATTCTGCAAAAAGAGAGATACAAAACTGCTCTATCAAAAGATAGGTTCGACTCTGGGAGTTCAATGCAAACATCACAAAGAAGTTTCTCAGAATGCTTCTGTGTAGTTTTTATGTGAAGATGTTCTGTTTTCTACCATAGGGCGAAATGGGGCTCCAAATCTCTACTTGCATTTTCTACAAAAGGAGAGATTCTAAGCTGCTCAATCAAAAGATAGGTTCAACACTGTTAGTTGAATGCACACATCCCAAAGAAGTTTGTGAGAATGCTTCTGTGTAGTTTTTATGTGAAGATATTTGCTTTTCCACAATAGGCCTCAAATCGTTCTAAATATCCACTTGCAGGCTCTACAAAAAGAGTGTTTCCAAATTGCTCAATCATAAGGTAGCTTCAACACTGAGAGTTGAATGCTCACATCATGAAGAAGTTTGCTCAGAATGGTTCTGTGTAGTTTTACTTTGAAGATATTTCATTTTCCAAATCAGGCCCCAAAGCTCTCCAAATATCCACTTGGTGATTCTGCAAAAGGAGCGTTTCAATACTGCTCAATAAAAAGAAAGGCTCAACTCTGTGTGAGGAATGCATTCATCACAAAGAAGTTTCTCTGAATGCTATCTTTGTAGTTTTTATATGAAGATAGTTCCCTTTCCACCACAGGGTGCAAAGAGCTCCAAATATCCACTTGCAGATTCTACAGAAAATGAGATACGAAAGTGCTCAAGGAAAAGATAAGTTCAACTCTGTGAGTTGCATGCACACCTCACAAAGAAGAATCTCAAAATGCTTCTGCGTAGTTTTTATGTGAAGATATTTCCTTTTCCAAGTAGGCCTCAACGTTCTCCAGATATCCACTCGCAGATTCTGCAAAAAGAGAGACTCAAAACTGCTGAATCAAAAGATAGTTTCAACTCTGTGACTTCATTGCACACCTCACAAAGATGTTTCTCAGAATGCTTCTGTGCAGTTTTTATATAAAGATATCTCCTTCTCCAAAATAGATCTCAAGGTTCTCCAAATATTCACTTCCAGATTCTATGGAAAGATTGTCTCAAAACTGCTCAATCAAACCAAAGGTTCAACCGTATGAGATGAATGCACACATCACAAGGAAGTTTCTCGGAATACTTCTGTGTAGTTTTTATTTGAGGATAGTTCCTTTTCCACCACAGACCACAAAGGGCTCCAAATATCCATTGCAGATGTTACAAAAAGAGAGATTCAAAACTGCTCAACCAAAAGGTAGTTTCAACCATGTGATATGAATGCACACAGCACAGAGAAATTTCTCAAAATGCTTCTGTCTAGTTTTTATTTGAAGATATTGCCTTTTCTACCATAGGCCACAAACGTCTCCAAATATCCACATGCAGCTTCTACAAAAAGAGAGATTCAAAGCTTCTCAATCAAAAGATAGGTTCAACTCTGTGAGTTGAATGCACACGTCACAAAGAAGTTTCTCAGAGTGCTTCTGTGTGTTTTTATGTGAACATATTCCCTTTTCCACAATAGGCCTCAAAGCTCTCCAAATATCTGCAAGCAGAGTCTACAAAAAGAGAGATTCAAAACTGCTCAATGAAAAGATAGGTTCAACTCTGTGAGTTGAATGCACACCTCCAAAGAAGTTTCTCAGAATGCTTCCGTGTAGTTTTTATGTGAAGATATTTACTTTTCCACAATTGTCCCAAAGCTCTAAAATATCCACTTGCAGACCCTCTGAAAGAGTGTTTCAGAATTGCTCAATCAAAGGAGAGGTTCAATTCTGTGTGACCAATGCACTCATCACAAAAAGTTTGTCTGAATGCTTCTGTGTAGAATTGATTTCAAGATAATTTCTTTTCCACCACAGTCTACAAAGGACTAAAAATATCCACTTGCAGATTCTACAAAAAGGGAGATTCAAAACTGCTCAATCACAAGATAGTTTCAACTCGGTGATTAGGAAGCACACATGACAAACAATTTCTGAGAATGCTTCTGTGTAGTTTTTAAGGGAAGATATTTGATTTTCAAAAGTAGGCCTCAAAGCGCTCCAAATATCCACTTGCAGATTCTGAAAAAAAGAGAGATTCAAAACTCCTCAATCAAAAGATAGCTTCTACTCTGTGAGTTGAATGCAAACCTCACAAAGATGTTTCTCAGAAGGCTTCTGTGTAGTTTTTATCGGAAGATATTTGCTTTTCCACAATATTCCTCAAATCTCCCCAATTATCCACTTGCAGATTCTACAAAAAGAGTGTTTCAAAACTGCTCAATCAAAATAAAGTTTCAACTTTGTGAGATGAATGCACACATCACAAAGAAGTTTCTCAGAATGCTTCTGTATAGTTTTTATCTGAAGTTATTTGCTTTTCCACGATAGACCTCAAAGGACGCCAAATATCCACTTGCAGATCCTATGAAAAGAGTGTTCCCAAACTGGTCAATCATAAGATAGGTTTAACTCTGTGAGTTGAATGCACAATCACAAAGAAGTTTCTCGGAATGCCTCTGTGTAGTTTTTATTTGGAGGTATTTCCTTTTCCACCCTAGGTAGCAAAGGGCTCCAAATATCCCCTTGCAGATTCTGCAAAATGAGAGATTCAAAACTGCTCAATCAAAAGATAGGTTCAGCTCTGTGAGTTGAATGCTCACATAACAAAGAAGTTTCTCACAGTATTTCTGTGTAGTTTTTATTTGAAGATATTTCCTTTTCCACCATAGGCCGCAAAGGGCTCCAAATATCCACTTGCAGATTGTATAAAAAGAGAGATTCAAAACTGGTCACTCAAAGGATCGGTTCAGCTCTGTGAGGTGAATGCACACATCAAAAAGAAGTTTCTTAGAGTGCCTCTATGTAGATTTTATGTGAAGATATTTGCTTTTCCACTTTAGGTCTCAAAGCGCTCCAAATATCCACGTGCAGATTCTAAAAAAAGAGAGATTCTAAGCTACTCCATCAAAAGATAGGTTCAGCTCTGTGAGTTGAATTCACACATCACAAAGAAGTTTCTAGGAGTGCTTCTGTGTAGTTGTTATGTGAAGATATTTGCTTTTCCACAGTAGGCCTCAAATCGCTCTACATATCCACTTGCAGTTTCTACAAAAAAGAGTGTTTCCAAACTGCTCCATCATAAGACACGTTGAACTCTGAGAGTTGAATGCACACATCACAAAGAAGCTTCTCAGAATGCTTCTGTGTGGTTTTAATTTGAAGATATTTGCTTTTCCAAAACAGGCCTCAAAGCTCTCCAAATATCCACCTGGTTATTCTGCAAAAAGAGGGTTTCAATACTACTCAATAAAAAGGAAGATTCAACTCTGTGTGAGGAACGCATTCATCACAAAGAAGTCTTTCTGAATGCTTCTGTGTAGCTTTTATATGAAGATATTTCCTTTTACACCACAGGGTGCAAACAGCTCCAAACTTCCACTTGCAGATTCTACAAAAAGACGTATTCAAAACTGTACAATCAAAAGATAGTGTCAACTCTGCATGTTCAATGCACACATCACAAAGGACTTTCTCTGAATGCTTCTCTGTAGGGTTTGTTTATGTGAAGATATTTGCTTTTCCACTATAGGGTGAAACAGGGCTCCAAGTATCAACTTGCAGATTCTGCAAAAAGGAGATTCAAAACAGCTAAATCCAAAGATTACTTCAACTATGTGAGTTGAATGCACACACAAAAAAGAAGTTTCTCAGAATGCCTCTGTGTAGTTTTTATGTGAAGATATTTGATTTTCCACATTAGGCCTCAAAGCGCTCCAAATATCCACTTGCAGACTCTACAAGAAGACTCTTTCGAAACTGCCCCATCAAAAGAAACGTCCAACACTGTGAGATGCATGCACACATCACAAAGAAGTTTCTCAGAATGCTTCTTTGTAGTTTTTATGTGAAGATATTCCCTTTTCCAAAGAAGGCCACAAAGTACTCCCAATATCCACTTGCAGGTTCTACAAAATGAGTGTTTCAAAACCGCTCAATCATTAGATAGGTTCAACTCTGTGAGACGAATGCACACATCACAAAGAAGTTTTACGGAATGCTTCTATATAGTTTTTATTTGAAGGTATTTCCTTTTCCACCCTAGGTTGCAAAGGGCTCCAAATATCCACTTGCAGATTCGACAAAAAGAGAGATTCAAAACTGCTCAATGATAAGTCCAACTCTGTGGGTTGAATCCATGCCTCACAAAGAAGTTTCTCAGAATGCTTCTCTGTAGTTTTTATGTGAAGATATTTCCTTTTTCACAATAGGCCTCAAGCTTTCCAAATATCCACTTGCAGATTCCGCAAAAAGAGAGATACAAAAGTGCTCTATCAAAAGATAGGTTCGACTCTGGGAGTTCAATGCAAACATCACAAAGAAGTTTCTCAGAATGCTTCTGTGTAGATTTTATGTGAAGATGTTTTGTTTTCTACCATAGGGCAAAATGGGGCTCCAAATATCTACTTGCATTTTCTACAAAAAGAGAGATTCTAAGCTGCTCAATCAAAAGATACGTTCAACACTGTTAGTTGAATGCACACATGCCAAAGAAGTTTCTCAGAATGCTTCTGTGTAGTTTTTATGTGAAGATATTTGCTTTTCCACAATAGGCCTCAAATCGTTCTAAATATCCACTTGCAGGCTCTACAAAAAGAGTGTTTCCAAATTGCTCAATCATAAGGTAGCTTCAACTCTGAGAGTTGAATGCTCACATCATAAAGAAGTTTCTCAGAATGGTTCTGTGTAGTTTTACTTTGAAGATATTTCATTTTCCAAAACAGGCCCCAAAGCTCTCCAAATATCCACTTGGTGATTCTGCAAAAAGAGCGTTTCAATACTGCTCAATAAAAAGAAACGTTCAGCTCTGTGTGAGGAATGCATTCATCACAAAGAAGTTTCTCTGAATGCTTCTTTGTAGTTTTTATATGAAGATAGTTCCCTTTCCACCACAGGGTGCAAAGAGCTCCAAATATCCACTTGCAGATTCTACAGAAAATGAGATACGAAAGTGCTCAAGGAAAAGATAAGTTCAACTCTGTGAGTTGCATGCACACCTCACAAAGAAGAATCTCAAAATGCTTCTGCATAGTTTATATGTGAAGATATTTCCTTTTCCAAATAGGCCTCCAAGTTCTCCAGATATCCACTCGCAGATTCTGCAAAAAGAGAGACTCAAAACTGCTGAATCAAAGCATAGTTTCAACTCTGTGACTTCATTGCACACCTCACAAAGATGTTTCTCAGAATGCTTCTGTGCAGTTTTTATATAAAGATATCTCCTTCTCCAAAATAGATCTCAAAGTTATCCAAGTATTCACTTCCAGATTCTATGGAAAGATTATCTCAAAACTGCTCAATCAAACCAAAGGTTCAACTCTGTGAGATAAATGCACACATCACAAAGAAGTTTCTCAGAATACTTCCGTGTAGTTTTTATTTGAGGATAGTTCCTTTTCCACCACAGACCACAAAGGGCTCCAAATATCCATTGCAGATGGTACAAACAGAGAGACTCGAAACTGCTCAATCAAAAGGTAGTTTCAACCATGTGATATGAATGCACACAGCACAGAGAATTTTCTCAAAATGCTTCTGTCTAGTTTTTATTTGAAGATATATCCTTTTCTACCATAGGCCACAAACGTCTCCAAATATCCACATGCAGCTTCTACAAAAAGAGAGATTCAAAACTTCTCCATCAAAAGATAGGTTCAACTCTGTGAGTTGAATGCACACCTCACAAAGAAGTTTCTCAGAGTGCTTCTGTGTGTTTTTATGTGAACATATTCCCTTTTCCACAATAGGCCTCAAAGCTCTCCAAATATCTGCAAGCAGAGTCTACAAAAAGAGAGATTCAAAACTGCTCAATGAAAAGATAGGTTCAACTCTGTGAGTTGAATGCACACCTCCAAAGAAGTTTCTCAGAATGCTTCCGTGTAGTTTCTATGTGAAGATATTTACTTTTCCACAATTGTCCCAAAGCTCTAAAATATCCACTTGCAGACCCTCTGAAAGAGTGTTTCAGAATTGCTCAATCAAAGGAGAGGTTCAATTCTGTGTGACCAATGCACTCATCACAAAAAGTTTGTCTGAATGCTTCTGTGTAGAATGGATTTGAAGATAATTCCTTTTCCACCACAGTCCGCAAATGGCTAAAAATATCCACTTGCAGATTCCACAAAAAGAGAGATTCAAAACTGCTCAATCACAAGGTAGGTTCAACTTGGTAATTTGAAAGCACACATGACAAACAATTTCTGAGAATGTTTCTGTGTAGCTTTTAAGGGAAGATATTTGATTTTCAAATGTAGGCCTCAAAACGCTCCAAATATCCACTTGCAGATTGTACAAAAAGAGAGATTCAAAACTGGTCACTCAAAAGATAGTTCCAGCTCTGTGAGTTGAATGCAAACCTCACAAAGATGTTTCTCAGAAAGCTTCTGTATAGTTTTTATATGAAGATACTTGCTTTTCCACAATATACCTCAAATCTCCCCCAATTATCCACTTGCAGATTCTACAAAAAGAGTGTTTCAAAACTGCTCAATCAAAATACACTTTCAACTCTGTGAGATCAATGCACACATCACAAAGAAGTTTCTCAGAATGCTTCTGTGTAGTTTTTTTTTTCAAGATATTTCCTTTTCCACCATAGGCTGCAAAGGACTCCAAATATCCAGTTGCAGATTCTACAAAAAGAGAGATTCAAAACTGCTCAATCAAAAAATAGGTTCAACTCTGTGAGTTGAATGCACACATCACAAAGAAGTTTTTCGAAATGCTTCTATAGAGTTTTTATTTGAAGGTATTTCCTTTTCCACCCTAGGTTGCAAAGGGCTCCAAATATCCACTTGCAGATTCGACAAAAAGAGAGATTCAAAACTGCTCAATGATAAGTCCAACTCTGTGGGTTGCATCCATGCCTCACAAAGAAGTTTCTCAGAATGCTTCTCTGTAGTTTCTATGTGAAGATATTTCCTTTTTCACAATAGGCCTCAAGCTTTCCAAATATCCACTTGCAGATTCTGCAAAAAGAGAGATACAAAACTGCTCTATCAAAAGATAGGTTCGACTCTGTGAGTTCAATGCAAACATCACAAAGAAGTTTCTCAGAATGCTTCTGTGTAGTTTTTATGTGAAGATGTTCTGTTTTCTACCATAGGGCGAAATGGGGCTCCAAATCTCTACTTGCATTTTCTACAAAAGGAGAGATTCTAAGCTGCTCAATCAAAAGATAGGTTCAACACTGTTAGTTGAATGCACACATCCCAACGAAGTTTCTCAGAATGCTTCTGTGTAGTTTTTATGTGAAGATATTTGCTTTTCCACAATAGGCCTCAAATCGTTCTAAATATCCACTTGCAGGCTCTACAAAAAGAGTGTTTCCAAATTGCTCAATCATAAGGTAGCTTCAACTCTGAGAGTTGAATGCTCACATCATAAAGAAGTTTCTCAGAATGGTTCTGTGTAGTTTTACTTTGAAGATATTTCATTTTCCAAATGAGGCCCCAAAGCTCTCCAAATATCCACTTGGTGATTCTGCAAAAAGAGCGTTTCAATACTGCTCAATAAAAAGAAAGGCTCAACTCTGTGTGAGGAATGCATTCATCACAAAGAAGTTTCTCTGAATGCTTCTTTGTAGTTTTTATATGAAGATATTTCCCTTTCCACCACAGGGTGCAAAGAGCTCCAAATATCCACTTGCAGATTCTACAAATAAAGAGATATGAATGTGCTCAATGAAATGATAAGTTCAACTCTGTGAGTTGAATGCACACCTCACAAAGAAGTATCTCAAAATGCTTCTGCGTAGTTTTTATGTGAAGATATTTCCTTTTCCAAATAGGTCTCAGAGTTCTCTGGATATCCACTTGCAGATTCTGCAAAAAGAGAGATTCAAAACTGCTCAATCAAAAGATACGTTCGACTCTGTGAGTTGAATGCACACATCACAATGTAGTTTCTCAGAAGTCTTCTGTGTAGTTTTTATGGGAAGATATTTGATTTTCCACAGTAGGCCTCAAAGTGTTCCAAATATCGACTTGCAGATTCTGCAAAAAGAGAGACTCAAAACTGCTCAATCAAAAGATAGTTTCAACTGTGTGAGTTGAAAGCACACATCACAAAGAAGTTTTTCAGAATGCTTCTGTGTATTTTTTATGTGAAGATATTTGATTTTCCACAGTAGGCTTCAAAGCACTCCAAATATCCACTCGCAGATTCTGCAAGAAGAGAGATTCAAATCTGCTGAATCAAAAGATAGGTTTAACTCTGTGACTTCAATGCACACCTCACAAGGGTGTTTCTCAGAAAGCTTCTGTGCAGTTTTTATATAAAGATATCTCCTTCTCCAAAATAGATCTCAAAGTTATCCAAGTATTCACTTCCAGATTCTATGGAAAGATTATCTCAAAACTGCTCAATCAAACCAAAGGTTCAACTCTGTGAGATAAATGCACACATCACAAAGAAGTTTCTCAGAATACTTCCGTGTAGTTTTTATTTGAGGATAGTTCCTTTTCCACCACAGACCACAAAGGGCTCCAAATATCCATTGCAGATGGTACAAACAGAGAGACTCGAAACTGCTCAATCAAAAGGTAGTTTCAACCATGTGATATGAATGCACACAGCACAGAGAATTTTCTCAAAATGCTTCTGTCTAGTTTTTATTTGAAGATATATCCTTTTCTACCATAGGCCACAAACGTCTCCAAATATCCACATGCAGCTTCTACAAAAAGAGAGATTCAAAACTTCTCCATCAAAAGATAGGTTCAACTCTGTGAGTTGAATGCACACCTCACAAAGAAGTTTCTCAGAGTGCTTCTGTGTGTTTTTATGTGAAGATGATTCCTTTTCCACAATAGGCCTCAAAGCTCTCCAAGTATCTGCAAGCAGAGTCTACAAAAAGAGAGATTCAAAACTGCTCAATGAAAAGATAGGTTCAACTCTGTGAGTTGAATGCACACCTCCAAAGAAGTTTCTCAGAATGCTTCCGTGTAGTTTCTATGTGAAGATATTTACTTTTCCACAATTGTCCCAAAGCTCTAAAATATCCACTTGCAGACCCTCTGAAAGAGTGTTTCAGAATTGCTCAATCAAAGGAGAGGTTCAATTCTGTGTGACCAATGCACTCATCACAAAAAGTTTGTCTGAATGCTTCTGTGTAGAATGGATTTGAAGATAATTCCTTTTCCACCACAGTCCGCAAATGGCTAAAAATATCCACTTGCAGATTCCACAAAAAGAGAGATTCAAAACTGCTCAATCACAAGGTAGGTTCAACTTGGTAATTTGAAAGCACACATGACAAACAATTTCTGAGAATGTTTCTGTGTAGCTTTTAAGGGAAGATATTTGATTTTCAAATGTAGGCCTCAAAACGCTCCAAATATCCACTTGCAGATTGTACAAAAAGAGAGATTCAAAACTGGTCACTCAAAAGATAGTTCCAGCTCTGTGAGTTGAATGCAAACCTCACAAAGATGTTTCTCAGAAAGCTTCTGTATAGTTTTTATATGAAGATACTTGCTTTTCCACAATATACCTCAAATCTCCCCAATTATCCACTTGCAGATTCTACAAAAAGAGTGTTTCAAAACTGCTCAATCAAAATACACTTTCAACTCTGTGAGATCAATGCACACATCACAAAGAAGTTTCTCAGAATGCTTCTGTATAGTTTTTATCTGAAGTTATTTGCTTTTCCACGATAGGCCTCAAAGCACGCCAAATATCCACTTGCAGATCCTATGAAAAGAGTGTTCCAAAACTGGTCAATCATAAGATAGGTTTAACTCTGTGAGTTGAATGCACAATCACGAGGAAGTTTCTCAGAATGCCTCTGTGTGCTTTTCATTTGAAGGTATTTCCTTTTCCACCATAGGCCGCAAAGGGCTCCAAATATCCCCTTGCAGATTCTGCAAAATGAGAGATTCAAAACTGCTCAATCAAAAGATAGGTTCAACTCTGTGAGTTGAATGCTCACATAACAAAGAAGTTTCTCACAGTATTTCTGTGTAGTTTTTATTTGAAGATATTTCCTTTTCCACCATAGGCCGCAAAGGGCTCCAAATATCCACTTGCAGATTGTATAAAAAGAGAGATTCAAAACTGGTCACTCGAAGGATCGGTTCAGCTCTGTGAGGTGAATGCACACATCAAAAAGAAGTTTCTTAGAGTGCCTCTATGTAGATTTTATGTGAAGATATTTGCTTTTCCACTTTAGGTCTCAAAGCGCTCCAAATATCCACGTGCAGATTCTAAAAAAAGAGACATTCTAAGCTACTCCATCAAAAGATAGGTTCAGCTCTGTGAGTTGAATTCACACATCACAAAGAAGTTTCTAGGAGTGCTTCTGTGTAGTTGTTATGTGAAGATATTTGCTTTTCCACAGTAGGCCTCAAATCGCTCTACATATCCACTTGCAGTTTCTACAAAAAGAGTGTTTCCAAACTGCTCCATCATAAGACACGTTCAACTCTGAGAGTTGAATGCACACATCACAAAGAAGTTTCTCAGAATGCTTCTGTGTGGTTTTAATTTGAAGATATTTCCTTTTCCAAAACAGGCCTCAAAGCTCTCCGAATATCCACCTGGTTATTCTGCAAAAAGAGGGTTTCAATACTACTCAATAAAAAGGAAGATTCAACTCTGTGTGAGGAACGCATTCATCACAAAGAAGTCTTTCTGAATGCTTCTGTGTAGCTTTTATATGAAGATATTTCCTTTTACACCACAGGGTGCAAACAGCTCCAAACTTCCACTTGCAGATTCTACAAAAAGACGTATTCAAAACTGTACAATCAAAAGATAGTGTCAACTCTGCATGTTCAATGCACACATCACAAAGGACTTTCTCTGAATGCTTCTCTGTAGGGTTTGTTTATGTGAAGATATTTGCTTTTCCACTATAGGGTGAAACAGGGCTCCAAGTATCAACTTGCAGATTCTGCAAAAAGGAGATTCAAAACAGCTAAATCCAAAGATTACTTCAACTATGTGAGTTGAATGCACACACAAAAAAGAAGTTTCTCAGAATGCCTCTGTGTAGTTTTTATGTGAAGATATTTGATTTTCCACATTAGGCCTCAAAGCGCTCTAAATATCCACTTGCAGATTCTAGAAAAAGAGTGTTTCAAAACTGCCCTATCAAAAGAAACGTCCAACACTGTGAGATGAATGCACACATCACAAAGAAGTTTGCTCAGAATGCTTCTTTGTAGTTTTTATGTGAAGATATTCCCTTTTCCAAAGAAGGCCACAAAGTACTCCCAATATCCACTTGCAGGTTCTACAAAATGAGTGTTTCAAAACCGCTCAATCATTAGATAGGTTCAACTCTGTGAGACGAATGCACACATCACAAAGAAGTTTTACGGAATGCTTCTATATAGTTTTTATTTGAAGGTATTTCCTTTTCCACCCTAGGTTGCAAAGGGCTCCAAATATCCACTTGCAGATTCGACAAAAAGAGAGATTCAAAACTGCTCAATGATAAGTCCAACTCTGTGGGTTGAATCCATGCCTCACAAAGAAGTTTCTCAGAATGCTTCTCTGTAGTTTCTATGTGAAGATATTTCCTTTTTCACAATAGGCCTCAAGCTTTCCAAATATCCACTTGCAGATTCTGCAAAAAGAGAGATACAAAACTGCTCTATCAAAAGATAGGTTCGACTCTGGGAGTTCAATGCAAACATCACAAAGAAGTTTCTCAGAATGCTTCTGTGTAGATTTTATGTGAAGATGTTTTGTTTTCTACCATAGGGCAAAATGGGGCTCCAAATATCTACTTGCATTTTCTACAAAAAGAGAGATTCTAAGCTGCTCAATCAAAAGATACGTTCAACACTGTTAGTTGAATGCACACATGCCAAAGAAGTTTCTCAGAATGCTTCTGTGTAGTTTTTATGTGAAGATATTTGCTTTTCCACAGTAGGCCTCAAATCGCTCTACATATCCACTTGCAGTTTCTACAAAAAAGAGTGTTTCCAAACTGCTCCATCATAAGACACGTTGAACTCTGAGAGTTGAATGCACACATCACAAAGAAGCTTCTCAGAATGCTTCTGTGTGGTTTTAATTTGAAGATATTTCCTTTTCCAAAACAGACCTCAAAGCTCTCCGAATATCCACCTGGTTATTCTGCAAAAAGAGGGTTTCAATACTACTCAATAAAAAGGAAGATTCAACTCTGTGTGAGGAACGCATTCATCACAAAGAAGTCTTTCTGAATGCTTCTGTGTAGCTTTTATATGAAGATATTTCCTTTTACACCACAGGGTGCAAACAGCTCCAAACTTCCACTTGCAGATTCTACAAAAAGACGTATTCAAAACTGTACAATCAAAAGATAGTGTCAACTCTGCATGTTCAATGCACACATCACAAAGGACTTTCTCTGAATGCTTCTCTGTAGGGTTTGTTTATGTGAAGATATTTGCTTTTCCACTATAGGGTGAAACAGGGCTCCAAGTATCAACTTGCAGATTCTGCAAAAAGGAGATTCAAAACAGCTAAATCCAAAGATTACTTCAACTATGTGAGTTGAATGCACACACAAAAAAGAAGTTTCTCAGAATGCCTCTGTGTAGTTTTTATGTGAAGATATTTGATTTTCCACATTAGGCCTCAAAGTGCTCCAAATATCCACTTGCAGATTCTAGAAAAAGAGTGTTTCAAAACTGCCCTATCAAAAGAAACGTCCAACACTGTGAGATGAATGCACACATCACAAAGAAGTTTCTCAGAATGCTTCTTTGTAGTTTTTATGTGAAGATATTCCCTTTTCCAAAGAAGGCCACAAAGTACTCCCAATATCCACTTGCAGGTTCTACAAAATGAGTGTTTCAAAACCGCTCAATCATTAGATAGGTTCAACTACTGTGAGACGAATGCACACGTCACAAAGAAGTTTTACGGAATGCTTCTATATAGGTTTTATTTGAAGGTATTTCCTTTTCCACCCAAGGTTGCAAAGGGCTCCAAATATCCACTTGCAGATTCGACAAAAAGAGAGATTCAAAACTGCTCAATGATAAGTCCAACTCTGTGGGTTGAATCCATGCCTCACAAAGAAGTTTCTCAGAATGCTTCTCTGTAGTTTTTATGTGAAGATATTTCCTTTTTCACAATAGGCCTCAAGCTTTCCAAATATCCACTTGCAGATTCCGCAGAAAGAGAGATACAAAAGTGCTCTATCAAAAGATAGGTTCGACTCTGGGAGTTCAATGCAAACATCACAAAGAAGTTTCTCAGAATGCTTCTGTGTAGATTTTATGTGAAGATGTTTTGTTTTCTACCATAGGGCAAAATGGGGCTCCAAATATCTACTTGCATTTTCTACAAAAAGAGAGATTCTAAGCTGCTCAATCAAAAGATACGTTCAACACTGTTAGTTGAATGCACACATGCCAAAGAAGTTTCTCAGAATGCTTCTGTGTAGTTTTTATGTGAACATATTTGCTTTTCCACAATAGGCCTCAAATCGTTCTAAATATCCACTTGCAGGCTCTACAAAAAGAGTGTTTCCAAATTGCTCAATCATAAGGTAGGTTCAACTCTGAGAGTTGAATGCACACATCATAAAGAAGTTTCTCAGAATGGTTCTGTGTAGTTTTACTTTGAAGATATTTCATTTTCCAAAACAGGCCCCAAAGCTCTCCAAATATCCACTTGGTGATTCTGCAAAAAGAGCGTTTCAATACTGCTGCATAAAAAGAAAGGTTCAGCTCTGTGTGAGGAATGCATTCATCACAAGAAGTTTCTCTGAATGCTTCTTTGTAGTTTTTATATGAAGATAGTTCCCTTTCCACCACAGGGTGCAAAGAGCTCCAAATATCCACTTGCAGATTCTACAGAAAATGAGATATGAAAGTGCTCAAGGAAAAGATAAGTTCAACTCTGTGAGTTGCATGCACACCTCACAAAGAAGAATCTCAAAATGCTTCTGCATAGTTTATATGTGAAGATATTTCCTTTTCCAAATAGGCCTCCAAGTTCTCCAGATATCCACTCGCAGATTCTGCAAAAAGAGAGACTCAAAACTGCTGAATCAAAGCATAGTTTCAACTCTGTGACTTCATTGCACACCTCACAAAGATGTTTCTCAGAATGCTTCTGTGCAGTTTTTATATAAAGATATCTCCTTCTCCAAAATAGATCTCAAAGTTATCCAAGTATTCACTTCCAGATTCTATGGAAAGATTATC
Source organism: Homo sapiens (assembly GCF_000001405.40). NCBI lineage: Eukaryota > Metazoa > Chordata > Mammalia > Primates > Hominidae > Homo > Homo sapiens. Next base: position 17,482,644 of record NC_000015.10, on the reverse strand, counting down.
TCAAAACTGCTCAATCAAACCAAAGGTTCAACTCTGTGAGATAAATGCACACATCACAAAGAAGTTTCTCAGAATACTTCTGTGTAGTTTTTATTTGAGGATAGTTCCTTTTCCACCACAGACCACAAAGGGCTCCAAATATCCATTGCAGATGTTACAAAAAGAGAGATTCAAAACTGCTCAACCAAAAGGTAGTTTCAACCATGTGATATGAATGCACACAGCACAGAGAAATTTCTCAAAATGCTTCTGTCTAGTTTTTATTTGAAGATATTGCCTTTTCTACCATAGGCCACAAACGTCTCCAAATATCCACATGCAGCTTCTACAAAAAGAGAGATTCAAAGCTTCTCAATCAAAAGATAGGTTCAACTCTGTGAGTTGAATGCACACTTCACAAAGAAGTTTCTCAGAGTGCTTCTGTGTGTTTTTATGTGAACATATTCCCTTTTCCACAATAGGCCTCAAAGCTCTCCAAATATCTGCAAGCAGAGTCTACAAAAAGAGAGATTCAAAACTGCTCAATGAAAAGATAGGTTCAACTCTGTGAGTTGAATGCACACCTCCAAAGAAGTTTCTCAGAATGCTTCCGTGTAGTTTTTATGTGAAGATATTTACTTTTCCACAATTGTCCCAAAGCTCTAAAATATCCACTTGCAGACCCTCTGAAAGAGTGTTTCAGAATTGCTCAATCAAAGGAGAGGTTCAATTCTGTGTGACCAATGCACTCATCACAAAAAGTTTGTCTGAATGCTTCTGTGTAGAATGGATTTGAAGATAATTCCTTTTCCACCACAGTCCGCAAAGGGCTAAAAATATCCATTTGCAGATTCCACAAAAAGAGAGATTCAGAACTGCTCAATCACAAGATAGGTTCAACTTGGTAATTTGAAAGCCCACATGACAAACAATTTCTGAGAATGTTTCTGTGTAGCTTTTAAGGGAAGATATTTGATTTTCAAATGTAGGCCTCAAAACGCTCCAAATATCCACTTGCAGATTGTACAAAAAGAGAGATTCAAAACTGGTCACTCAAAAGATAGTTCCAGCTCTGTGAGTTGAATGCAAACCTCACAAAGATGTTTCTCAGAAAGCTTCTGTATAGTTTTTATATGAAGATACTTGCTTTTCCACAATATACCTCAAATCTCCCCAATTATCCACTTGCAGATTCTACAAAAAGAGTGTTTCAAAACTGCTCAATCAAAATACACTTTCAACTCTGTGAGATCAATGCACACATCACAAAGAAGTTTCTCAGAATGCTTCTGTATAGTTTTTATCTGAAGTTATTTGCTTTTCCACGATAGGCCTCAAAGCACGCCAAATATCCACTTGCAGATCCTATGAAAAGAGTGTTCCAAAACTGGTCAATCATAAGATAGGTTTAACTCTGTGAGTTGAATGCACAATCACGAGGAAGTTTCTCAGAATGCCTCTGTGTAGTTTTTATTTGGAGGTATTTCCTTTTCCACCCTAGGTAGCAAAGGGCTCCAAATATCCCCTTGCAGATTCTGCAAAATGAGAGATTCAAAACTGCTCAATCAAAAGATAGGTTCAGCTCTGTGAGTTGAATGCTCACATAACAAAGAAGTTTCTCACAGTATTTCTGTGTAGTTTTTATTTGAAGATATTTCCTTTTCCACCATAGGCCACAAAGGGCTCCAAATATCCACTTGCAGATTGTAAAAAAAGAGAGATTCAAAACTGGTCACTCAAAAGATAGGTTCAGCTCTGTGAGTTGAATGCACACATCAAAAAGAAGTTTCTTAGAGTGCCTCTATGTAGATTTTATGTGAAGATATTTGCTTTTCCACTTTAGGTCTCAAAGCGCTCCAAATATCCACGTGCAGATTCTAAAAAAAGAGAGATTCTAAGCTACTCCATCAAAAGATAGGTTCAGCTCTGTGAGTTGAATTCACACATCACAAAGAAGTTTCTAGGAGTGCTTCTGTGTAGTTGTTATGTGAAGATATTTGCTTTTCCACAGTAGGCCTCAAATCGCTCTACATATCCACTTGCAGTTTCTACAAAAAAGAGTGTTTCCAAACTGCTCCATCATAAGACACGTTGAACTCTGAGAGTTGAATGCACACATCACAAAGAAGCTTCTCAGAATGCTTCTGTGTGGTTTTAATTTGAAGATGTTTCCTTTTCCAAAACAGGCCTCAAAACTCTCCATATATCCCCCTGGTTATTCTGCAAAAAGAGGGTTTCAAAACTACTCAATAAAAAGGAAGATTCAACTCTGTGTGAGGAACGCATTCCTCACAAAGAAGTCTCTCTGAAAGCTTCTGTGTAGTTTTTATATGAAGATATTTCCTTTTGCACCACAGCGTGCAAACAGCTCCAAACTTCCACTTGCAGATTCTACAAAAAGAGATATTCAAAACTGTACAATCAAAAGATAGTTTCAACTCTGCGTGTTCAATGCACACATCACAAAGGACTTTCTCTGAATGCTTCTCTGTAGTGTTTGTTTATGTGAAGATATTTGCTTTTCCACTATAGGGTGAAACAGGGCTCCAGGTATCAACTTGCAGATTCTGCAAAAAGGAGATTCAAAACAGCTAAATCGAAAGATAACTTCAACTATGTGAGTAGAATGCACACACAAAAAAGAAGTTTCTCAGAATGCCTCTGTGTAGTTTTTATGTGAAGATATTTGATTTTCCACATTAGGCCTCAAAGCGCTCCAAATATCCACTTGTAGACTCTACAGGAAGACTCTTTCGAAACTGCCCTATCAAAAGAAACGTCCAACACTGTGAGATGCATGCACACATCACAAAGAAGTTTCTCAGAATGCTTCTTTGTAGTTTTCATGTGAAGATATTTCCTTTTCCAAAGAAGGCCACAAACTACTCCCAATATCCACTTCCAGGTTCTACAAAATGAGTGTTTCAAAACTGCTCAGTCATTAGATAGGTTCAACTCTGTGAGATGAATGCACACATCACAAAGAAGTTTTTCGGAATGCTTCTATATAGTTTTTATGTGAAGGTGTTTCCTTTTCCACCACAGGTTGCAAAAGGGCTCCAAATATCCACTTGCAGATTCGACCAAAAGAGAGATTCAAAACTGCTCAATGATAAGTCCAACTCTGTGGGTTGAATCCATGCCTCACAGAGAAGTTTCTCAGAATGCTTCTCTGTAGTTTCTATGTGAAGATATTTCCTTTTTCACAATAGGCCTCAAGCTTTCCAAATATCCACTTGCAGATTCTGCAAAAAGAGAGATACAAAACTGCTCTATCAAAAGATAGGTTCGACTCTGGGAGTTCAATGCAATACATCACAAAGAAGTTTCTCAGAATGCTTCTGCGTAGTTTTTATGTGAAGATGTTCTGTTTTCTACCATAGGGCGAAATGGGGCTCCAAATCTCTACTTGCATTTTCTACAAAAGGAGAGATTCTAAGCTGCTCAATCAAAAGATAGGTTCAACACTGTTAGTTGAATGCACACATCCCAAAGAAGTCTCTGAGAATGCTTCTGTGTAGTTTTTATGTGAAGATATTTGCTTTTCCACAATAGGCCTCAAATCGTTCTAAATATCCACTTGCAGGCTCTACAAAAAGAGTGTTTCCAAATTGCTCAATCATAAGGTAGGTTCAACTCTGAGAGTTGAATGCACACATCATAAAGAAGTTTCTCAGAATGGTTCTGTGTAGTTTTACTTTGAAGATATTTCATTTTCCAAAACAGGCCCCAAAGCTCTCCAAATATCCACTTGGTGATTCTGCAAAAAGAGCGTTTCAATACTGCTCCATAAAAAGAAAGGTTCAGCTCTGTGTGAGGAATGCATTCATCACAAGAAGTTTCTCTGAATGCTTCTTTGTAGTTTTTATATGAAGATAGTTCCCTTTCCACCACAGGGTGCAAAGAGCTCCAAATATCCACTTGCAGATTCTACAGAAAATGAGATATGAAAGTGCTCAAGGAAAAGATAAGTTCAACTCTGTGAGTTGCATGCACACCTCACAAAGAAGAATCTCAAAATGCTTCTGCATAGTTTATATGTGAAGATATTTCCTTTTCCAAATAGGCCTCCAAGTTCTCCAGATATCCACTCGCAGATTCTGCAAAAAGAGAGACTCAAAACTGCTGAATCAAAACATAGTTTCAACTCTGTGACTTCATTGCACACCTCACAAAGATGTTTCTCAGAATGCTTCTGTGCAGTTTTTATATAAAGATATCTCCTTCTCCAAAATAGATCTCAAAGTTATCCAAGTATTCACTTCCAGATTCTATGGAAAGATTATCTCAAAACTGCTCAATCAAACCAAAGGTTCAACTCTGTGAGATAAATGCACACATCACAAAGAAGTTTCTCAGAATACTTCCGTGTAGTTTTTATTTGAGGATAGTTCCTTTTCCACCACAGGACCACAAAGGGCTCCAAATATCCATTGCAGATGGTACAAACAGAGAGACTCGAAACTGCTCAATCAAAAGGTAGTTTCAACCATGTGATATGAATGCACACAGCACAGAGAATTTTCTCAAAATGCTTCTGTCTAGTTTTTATTTGAAGATATATCCTTTTCTACCATAGGCCACAAACGTCTCCAAATATCCACATGCAGCTTCTACAAAAAGAGAGATTCAAAACTTCTCCATCAAAAGATAGGTTCAACTCTGTGAGTTGAATGCACACCTCACAAAGAAGTTTCTCAGAGTGCTTCTGTGTGTTTTTATGTGAAGATGATTCCTTTTCCACAATAGGCCTCAAAGCTCTCCAAGTATCTGCAAGCAGAGTCTACAAAAAGAGAGATTCAAAACTGCTCAATGAAAAGATAGGTTCAACTCTGTGAGTTGAATGCACACCTCCAAAGAAGTTTCTCAGAATGCTTCCGTGTAGTTTCTATGTGAAGATATTTACTTTTCCACAATTGTCCCAAAGCTCTAAAATATCCACTTGCAGACCCTCTGAAAGAGTGTTTCAGAATTGCTCAATCAAAGGAGAGGTTCAATTCTGTGTGACCAATGCACTCATCACAAAAAGTTTGTCTGAATGCTTCTGTGTAGAATGGATTTGAAGATAATTCCTTTTCCACCACAGTCCGCAAAGGGCTAAAAATATCCATTTGCAGATTCCACAAAAAGAGAGATTCAGAACTGCTCAATCACAAGATAGGTTCAACTTGGTAATTTGAAAGCCCACATGACAAACAATTTCTGAGAATGTTTCTGTGTAGCTTTTAAGGGAAGATATTTGATTTTCAAATGTAGGCCTCAAAACGCTCCAAATATCCACTTGCAGATTGTACAAAAAGAGAGATTCAAAACTGGTCACTCAAAAGATAGTTCCAGCTCTGTGAGTTGAATGCAAACCTCACAAAGATGTTTCTCAGAAAGCTTCTGTATAGTTTTTATATGAAGATACTTGCTTTTCCACAATATACCTCAAATCTCCCCAATTATCCACTTGCAGATTCTACAAAAAGAGTGTTTCAAAACTGCTCAATCAAAATACACTTTCAACTCTGTGAGATCAATGCACACATCACAAAGAAGTTTCTCAGAATGCTTCTGTATAGTTTGCTTTTCCACGATAGGCCTCAAAGCACGCCAAATATCCACTTGCAGATCCTATGAAAAGAGTGTTCCAAAACTGGTCAATCATAAGATAGGTTTAACTCTGTGAGTTGAATGCACAATCACGAGGAAGTTTCTCAGAATGCCTCTGTGTGCTTTTCATTTGAAGGTATTTCCTTTTCCACCATAGGCCGCAAAGGGCTCCAAATATCCCCTTGCAGATTCTGCAAAATGAGAGATTCAAAACTGCTCAATCAAAAGATAGGTTCAACTCTGTGAGTTGAATGCTCACATAACAAAGAAGTTTCTCACAGTATTTCTGTGTAGTTTTTATTTGAAGATATTTCCTTTTCCACCATAGGCCGCAAAGGGCTCCAAATATCCACTTGCAGATTGTATAAAAAGAGAGATTCAAAACTGGTCACTCGAAGGATCGGTTCAGCTCTGTGAGGTGAATGCACACATCAAAAAGAAGTTTCTTAGAGTGCCTCTATGTAGATTTTATGTGAAGATATTTGCTTTTCCACTTTAGGTCTCAAAGCGCTCCAAATATCCACGTGCAGATTCTAAAAAAAGAGAGATTCTAAGCTACTCCATCAAAAGATAGGTTCAGCTCTGTGAGTTGAATTCACACATCACAAAGAAGTTTCTAGGAGTGCTTCTGTGTAGTTGTTATGTGAAGATATTTGCTTTTCCACAGTAGGCCTCAAATCGCTCTACATATCCACTTGCAGTTTCTACAAAAAAGAGTGTTTCCAAACTGCTCCATCATAAGACACGTTGAACTCTGAGAGTTGAATGCACACATCACAAAGAAGCTTCTCAGAATGCTTTCTGTGTGGTTTTAATTTGAAGATATTTCCTTTTCCAAAACAGGCCTCAAAGCTCTCCAAATATCCACCTGGTTATTCTGCAAAAAGAGGGTTTCAATACTACTCAATAAAAAGGAAGATTCAACTCTGTGTGAGGAACGCATTCATCACAAAGAAGTCTCTCTGAATGCTTCTGTGTAGTTTTTATATGAAAATATTTCCTTTTACACCACAGGGGGCAAAGAGCTCCAAACTTCCACTTACAGATACTACAAAAAGAGATATTCAAAACTGTACAATCAAAAGATACTTTCAACTCTGCGTGTTCAATGCACACATCACAAAGAACTTTCTCTGAATGCTTCTCTGTAGTGTTTGTTTATGTGAAGATATTTGCTTTTCCACTATAGGGTGAAACAGGACTCCAAGCCTCAACTTGCAGATTCTGCAAAAAGGAGATTCAAAACAGCTAAATCGAAAGATGACTTCAACTATGTGAGTTGAATGCACACACAAAAAAGAAGTTTCTCAGAATGCCTCTGTGTAGTTTTTATGTGAAGATATTTGATTTTCCACATTAGGCCTCAAAGCGCTCTAAATATCCACTTGCAGATTCTAGAAAAAGAGTGTTTCAAAACTGCCCTATCAAAAGAAACGTCCAACACTGTGAGATGAATGCACACATCACAAAGAAAGTTTCTCAGAATGCTTCTTTGTAGTTTTCATGTGAAGATATTTCCTTTTCCAAAGAAGGCCACAAACTACTCCCAATATCCACTTCCAGGTTCTACAAAATGAGTGTTTCAAAACTGCTCAATCATTAGATAGGTTCAACTCTGTGAGATGAATGCACACATCACAAAGAAGTTTTTCGGAATGCTTCTATATAGTTTTTATTTGAAGGTATTTCCTTTTCCACCCTAGGTTGCAAAGGGCTCCAAATATCCACTTGCAGATTCGACAAAAAGAGAGATTCAAAACTGCTCAATGATAAGTCCAACTCTGTGGGTTGAATCCATGCCTCACAAAGAAGTTTCTCAGAATGCTTCTCTGTAGTTTTTATGTGAAGATATTTCCTTTTTCACAATAGGCCTCAAGCTTTCCAAATATCCACTTGCAGATTCCGCAAAAAAGAGAGATACAAAAGTGCTCTATCAAAAGATAGGTTCGACTCTGGGAGTTCAATGCAAACATCACAAAGAAGTTTCTCAGAATGCTTCTGTGTAGTTTTTATGTGAAGATGTTCTGTTTTCTACCATAGGGCAAAATGGGGCTCCAAATATCTACTTGCATTTTCTACAAAAAGAGAGATTCTAAGCTGCTCAATCAAAAGATACGTTCAACACTGTTAGTTGAATGCACACATGCCAAAGAAGTTTCTCAGAATGCTTCTGTGTAGTTTTTATGTGAAGATATTTGCTTTTCCACAATAGGCCTCAAATCGTTCTAAATATCCACTTGCAGGCTCTACAAAAAGAGTGTTTCCAAATTGCTCAATCATAAGGTAGGTTCAACTCTGAGAGTTGAATGCACACATCATAAAGAAGTTTCTCAGAATGGTTCTGTGTAGTTTTACTTTGAAGATATTTCATTTTCCAAAACAGGCCCCAAAGCTCTCCAAATATCCACTTGGTGATTCTGCAAAAAGAGCGTTTCAATACTGCTCCATAAAAAGAAAGGTTCAGCTCTGTGTGAGGAATGCATTCATCACAAGAAGTTTCTCTGAATGCTTCTTTGTAGTTTTTATATGAAGATAGTTCCCTTTCCACCACAGGGTGCAAAGAGCTCCAAATATCCACTTGCAGATTCTACAGAAAATGAGATACGAAAGTGCTCAAGGAAAAGATAAGTTCAACTCTGTGAGTTGCATGCACACCTCACAAAGAAGAATCTCAAAATGCTTCTGCGTAGTTTTTATGTGAAGATATTTCCTTTTCCAAGTAGGCCTCAACGTTCTCCAGATATCCACTCGCAGATTCTGCAAAAAGAGAGACTCAAAACTGCTGAATCAAAAGATAGTTTCAACTCTGTGACTTCATTGCACACCTCACAAAGATGTTTCTCAGAATGCTTCTGTGCAGTTTTTATATAAAGATATCTCCTTCTCCAAAATAGATCTCAAGGTTCTCCAAATATTCACTTCCAGATTCTATGGAAAGATTGTCTCAAAACTGCTCAATCAAACCAAAGGTTCAACCCTATGAGATGAATGCACACATCACAAGGAAGTTTCTCGGAATACTTCTGTGTAGTTTTTATTTGAGGATAGTTCCTTTTCCACCACAGACCACAAAGGGCTCCAAATATCCATTGCAGATGTTACAAAAAGAGAGATTCAAAACTGCTCAACCAAAAGGTAGTTTCAACCATGTGATATGAATGCACACAGCACAGAGAAATTTCTCAAAATGCTTCTGTCTAGTTTTTATTTGAAGATATTGCCTTTTCTACCATAGGCCACAAACGTCTCCAAATATCCACATGCAGCTTCTACAAAAAGAGAGATTCAAAGCTTCTCAATCAAAAGATAGGTTCAACTCTGTGAGTTGAATGCACACTTCACAAAGAAGTTTCTCAGAGTGCTTCTGTGTGTTTTTATGTGAAGATGATTCCTTTTCCACAATAGGCCTCAAAGCTCTCCAAGTATCTGCAAGCAGAGTCTACAAAAAGAGAGATTCAAAACTGCTCAATGAAAAGATAGGTTCAACTCTGTGAGTTGAATGCACACCTCCAAAGAAGTTTCTCAGAATGCTTTCCGTGTAGTTTCTATGTGAAGATATTTACTTTTCCACAATTGTCCCAAAGCTCTAAAATATCCACTTGCAGACCCTCTGAAAGAGTGTTTCAGAATTGCTCAATCAAAGGAGAGGTTCAATTCTGTGTGACCAATGCACTCATCACAAAAAGTTTGTCTGAATGCTTCTGTGTAGAATGGATTTGAAGATAATTCCTTTTCCACCACAGTCCGCAAATGGCTAAAAATATCCACTTGCAGATTCCACAAAAAGAGAGATTCAAAACTGCTCAATCACAAGGTAGGTTCAACTTGGTAATTTGAAAGCACACATGACAAACAATTTCTGAGAATGTTTCTGTGTAGCTTTTAAGGGAAGATATTTGATTTTCAAATGTAGGCCTCAAAACGCTCCAAATATCCACTTGCAGATTGTACAAAAAGAGAGATTCAAAACTGGTCACTCAAAAGATAGTTCCAGCTCTGTGAGTTGAATGCAAACCTCACAAAGATGTTTCTCAGAAAGCTTCTGTATAGTTTTTATATGAAGATACTTGCTTTTCCACAATATACCTCAAATCTCCCCCAATTATCCACTTGCAGATTCTACAAAAAGAGTGTTTCAAAACTGCTCAATCAAAATACACTTTCAACTCTGTGAGATCAATGCACACATCACAAAGAAGTTTCTCAGAATGCTTCTGTATAGTTTTTATCTGAAGTTATTTGCTTTTCCACGATAGGCCTCAAAGCACGCCAAATATCCACTTGCAGATCCTATGAAAAGAGTGTTCCAAAACTGGTCAATCATAAGATAGGTTTAACTCTGTGAGTTGAATGCACAATCACGAGGAAGTTTCTCAGAATGCCTCTGTGTGCTTTTCATTTGAAGGTATTTCCTTTTCCACCATAGGCCGCAAAGGGCTCCAAATATCCCCTTGCAGATTCTGCAAAATGAGAGATTCAAAACTGCTCAATCAAAAGATAGGTTCAACTCTGTGAGTTGAATGCTCACATAACAAAGAAGTTTCTCACAGTATTTCTGTGTAGTTTTTATTTGAAGATATTTCCTTTTCCACCATAGGCCGCAAAGGGCTCCAAATATCCACTTGCAGATTGTATAAAAAGAGAGATTCAAAACTGGTCACTCGAAGGATCGGTTCAGCTCTGTGAGGTGAATGCACACATCAAAAAGAAGTTTCTTAGAGTGCCTCTATGTAGATTTTATGTGAAGATATTTGCTTTTCCACTTTAGGTCTCAAAGCGCTCCAAATATCCACGTGCAGATTCTAAAAAAAGAGAGATTCTAAGCTACTCCATCAAAAGATAGGTTCAGCTCTGTGAGTTGAATTCACACATCACAAAGAAGTTTCTAGGAGTGCTTCTGTGTAGTTGTTATGTGAAGATATTTGCTTTTCCACAGTAGGCCTCAAATCGCTCTACATATCCACTTGCAGTTTCTACAAAAAAGAGTGTTTCCAAACTGCTCCATCATAAGACACGTTGAACTCTGAGAGTTGAATGCACACATCACAAAGAAGCTTCTCAGAATGCTTCTGTGTGGTTTTAATTTGAAGATATTTGCTTTTCCAAAACAGGCCTCAAAGCTCTCCAAATATCCACCTGGTTATTCTGCAAAAAGAGGGTTTCAATACTACTCAATAAAAAGGAAGATTCAACTCTGTGTGAGGAACGCATTCATCACAAAGAAGTCTTTCTGAATGCTTCTGTGTAGCTTTTATATGAAGATATTTCCTTTTACACCACAGGGTGCAAACAGCTCCAAACTTCCACTTGCAGATTCTACAAAAAGACGTATTCAAAACTGTACAATCAAAAGATAGTGTCAACTCTGCATGTTCAATGCACACATCACAAAGGACTTTCTCTGAATGCTTCTCTGTAGGGTTTGTTTATGTGAAGACATTTGCTTTTCCACTATAGGGTGAAACAGGGCTCCAAGTATCAACTTGCAGATTCTGCAAAAAGGAGATTCAAAACAGCTAAATCCAAAGATTACTTCAACTATGTGAGTTGAATGCACACACAAAAAAAGAAGTTTCTCAGAATGCCTTTGTGTAGTTCTTATGTGAAGATATTTGATTTTCCACAGTAGACCTCAAAGTGCTCCAAATATCTACTTTCAGAATCTACAAGAAGAGAGATTCAAAACTGCTCCATCAAAAGATAGGTTCACCTCCGTGACTTGAATGCACACATCACAAAGATGTTTCTCAGAATGCTTCTTTGTAGTTTTTATGTGAAGATATTCCCTTTTCCAAAGAAGGCCACAAAGTACTCCCAATATCCACTTGCAGGTTCTACAAAATGAGTGTTTCAAAACCGCTCAATCATTAGATAGGTTCAACTCTGTGAGACGAATGCACACGTCACAAAGAAGTTTTACGGAATGCTTCTATATAGTTTTTATTTGAAGGTATTTCCTTTTCCACCCTAGGTTGCAAAGGGCTCCAAATATCCACTTGCAGATTCGACAAAAAGAGAGATTCAAAACTGCTCAATGATAAGTCCAACTGCTGTGGGTTGAATCCATGCCTCACAAAGAAGTTTCTCAGAATGCTTCTCTGTAGTTTTTATGTGAAGATATTTCCTTTTTCACAATAGGCCTCAAGCTTTCCAAATATCCACTTGCAGATTCCGCAAAAAGAGAGATACAAAAGTGCTCTATCAAAAGATAGGTTCGACTCTGGGAGTTCAATGCAAACATCACAAAGAAGTTTCTCAGAATGCTTCTGTGTAGATTTTATGTGAAGATGTTTTGTTTTCTACCATAGGGCAAAATGGGGCTCCAAATATCTACTTGCATTTTCTACAAAAAGAGAGATTCTAAGCTGCTCAATCAAAAGATACGTTCAACACTGTTAGTTGAATGCACACATGCCAAAGAAGTTTCTCAGAATGCTTCTGTGTAGTTTTTATGTGAAGATATTTGCTTTTCCACAATAGGCCTCAAATCGTTCTAAATATCCACTTGCAGGCTCTACAAAAAGAGTGTTTCCAAATTGCTCAATCATAAGGTAGGTTCAACTCTGAGAGTTGAATGCACACATCATAAAGAAGTTTCTCAGAATGGTTCTGTGTAGTTTTACTTTGAAGATATTTCATTTTCCAAAACAGGCCCCAAAGCTCTCCAAATATCCACTTGGTGATTCTGCAAAAAGAGCGTTTCAATACTGCTCCATAAAAAGAAAGGTTCAGCTCTGTGTGAGGAATGCATTCATCACAAGAAGTTTCTCTGAATGCTTCTTTGTAGTTTTTATATGAAGATAGTTCCCTTTCCACCACAGGGTGCAAAGAGCTCCAAATATCCACTTGCAGATTCTACAGAAAATGAGATATGAAAGTGCTCAAGGAAAAGATAAGTTCAACTCTGTGAGTTGCATGCACACCTCACAAAGAAGAATCTCAAAATGCTTCTGCGTAGTTTTTATGTGAAGATATTTCCTTTTCCAAGTAGGCCTCAACGTTCTCCAGATATCCACTCGCAGATTCTGCAAAAAGAGAGACTCAAAACTGCTGAATCAAAAGATAGTTTCAACTCTGTGACTTCATTGCACACCTCACAAAGATGTTTCTCAGAATGCTTCTGTGCAGTTTTTATATAAAGATATCTCCTTCTCCAAAATAGATCTCAAGGTTCTCCAAATATTCACTTCCAGATTCTATGGAAAGATTGTCTCAAAACTGCTCAATCAAACCAAAGGTTCAACCCTATGAGATGAATGCACACATCACAAGGAAGTTTCTCGGAATACTTCCGTGTAGTTTTTATTTGAGGATAGTTCCTTTTCCACCACAGACCACAAAGGGCTCCAAATATCCATTGCAGATGGTACAAACAGAGAGACTCGAAACTGCTCAATCAAAAGGTAGTTTCAACCATGTGATATGAATGCACACAGCACAGAGAATTTTCTCAAAATGCTTCTGTCTAGTTTTTATTTGAAGATATTGCCTTTTCTACCATAGGCCACAAACGTCTCCAAATATCCACATGCAGCTTCTACAAAAAGAGAGATTCAAAGCTTCTCAATCAAAAGATAGGTTCAACTCTGTGAGTTGAATGCACACTTCACAAAGAAGTTTCTCAGAGTGCTTCTGTGTGTTTTTATGTGAAGATGATTCCTTTTCCACAATAGGCCTCAAAGCTCTCCAAGTATCTGCAAGCAGAGTCTACAAAAAGAGAGATTCAAAACTGCTCAATGAAAAGATAGGTTCAACTCTGTGAGTTGAATGCACACCTCCAAAGAAGTTTCTCAGAATGCTTTCCGTGTAGTTTCTATGTGAAGATATTTACTTTTCCACAATTGTCCCAAAGCTCTAAAATATCCACTTGCAGACCCTCTGAAAGAGTGTTTCAGAATTGCTCAATCAAAGGAGAGGTTCAATTCTGTGTGACCAATGCACTCATCACAAAAAGTTTGTCTGAATGCTTCTGTGTAGAATGGATTTGAAGATAATTCCTTTTCCACCACAGTCCGCAAAGGGCTAAAAATATCCATTTGCAGATTCCACAAAAAGAGAGATTCAGAACTGCTCAATCACAAGATAGGTTCAACCTGGTAATTTGAAAGCCCACATGACAAACAATTTCTGAGAATGTTTCTGTGTAGATTTTAAGGGAAGATATTTTATTTTCAAATGTAGGCCTCAAATCGCTCCAAATATCCACTTGCAGATTGAACAAAAAGAGAGATTCAAAACTGGTCACTCAAGAGATAGGTCCAGCTCTGTGAGTTGAATGCAAACCTCACAAAGATGTTTCTCAGAAGGCTTCTGTATAGTTTTTATATGAAGATATTTGCTTTTCCACAACATACCTCAAATCTCTCCAATTATCCACTTGCAGATTCTACAGAAGGAGTGTTTTAAAACTGCTCAATCAAAATACACTTTCAACTTTGTGAGATCAATGCACACATCACAAAGAAGTTTCTCAGAATGCTTCTGTATAGTTTGCTTTTCCACGATAGGCCTCAAAGCACGCCAAATATCCACTTGCAGATCCTATGAAAAGAGTGTTCCAAAACTGGTCAATCATAAGATAGGTTTAACTCTGTGAGTTGAATGCACAATCACGAGGAAGTTTCTCAGAATGCCTCTGTGTGCTTTTCATTTGAAGGTATTTCCTTTTCCACCATAGGCTGCAAAGGGCTCCAAATATCCCCTTGCAGATTCTGCAAAATGAGAGATTCAAAACTGCTCAATCAAAAGATAGGTTCAACTCTGTGAGTTGAATGCTCACATAACAAAGAAGTTTCTCACAGTATTTCTGTGTAGTTTTTATTTGAAGATATTTCCTTTTCCACCATAGGCCGCAAAGGGCTCCAAATATCCACTTGCAGATTGTACAAAAAGAGAGATTCAAAACTGGTCACTCAAAGGATCGGTTCAGCTCTGTGAGGTGAATGCACACATCAAAAAGAAGTTTCTTAGAGTGCCTCTATGTAGATTTTATGTGAAGATATTTGCTTTTCCACTTTAGGTCTCAAAGCGCTCCAAATATCCACGTGCAGATTCTAAAAAAAGAGAGATTCTAAGCTACTCCATCAAAAGATAGGTTCAGCTCTGTGAGTTGAATTCACACATCACAAAGAAGTTTCTAGGAGTGCTTCTGTGTAGTTGTTATGTGAAGATATTTGCTTTTCCACAGTAGGCCTCAAATCGCTCTACATATCCACTTGCAGTTTCTACAAAAAAGAGTGTTTCCAAACTGCTCCATCATAAGACACGTTGAACTCTGAGAGTTGAATGCACACATCACAAAGAAGCTTCTCAGAATGCTTCTGTGTGGTTTTAATTTGAAGATATTTGCTTTTCCAAAACAGGCCTCAAAGCTCTCCAAATATCCACCTGGTTATTCTGCAAAAAGAGGGTTTCAATACTACTCAATAAAAAGGAAGATTCAACTCTGTGTGAGGAACGCATTCATCACAAAGAAGTCTTTCTGAATGCTTCTGTGTAGCTTTTATATGAAGATATTTCCTTTTACACCACAGGGTGCAAACAGCTCCAAACTTCCACTTGCAGATTCTACAAAAAGACGTATTCAAAACTGTACAATCAAAAGATAGTGTCAACTCTGCATGTTCAATGCACACATCACAAAGGACTTTCTCTGAATGCTTCTCTGTAGGGTTTGTTTATGTGAAGATATTTGCTTTTCCACTATAGGGTGAAACAGGGCTCCAAGTATCAACTTGCAGATTCTGCAAAAAGGAGATTCAAAACAGCTAAATCCAAAGATTACTTCAACTATGTGAGTTGAATGCACACACAAAAAAGAAGTTTCTCAGAATGCCTCTGTGTAGTTTTTATGTGAAGATATTTGATTTTCCACATTAGGCCTCAAAGCGCTCTAAATATCCACTTGCAGATTCTAGAAAAAGAGTGTTTCAAAACTGCCCTATCAAAAGAAACGTCCAACACTGTGAGATGAATGCACACATCACAAAGAAGTTTCTCAGAATGCTTCTTTGTAATTTTTATGTGAAGATATTCCCTTTTCCAAAGAAGGCCACAAAGTACTCCCAATATCCACTTGCAGGTTCTACAAAATGAGTGTTTCAAAACCGCTCAATCATTAGATAGGTTCAACTCTGTGAGACGAATGCACACGTCACAAAGAAGTTTTACGGAATGCTTCTATATAGTTTTTATTTGAAGGTATTTCCTTTTCCACCCTAGGTTGCAAAGGGCTCCAAATATCCACTTGCAGATTCGACAAAAAGAGAGATTCAAAACTGCTCAATGATAAGTCCAACTCTGTGGGTTGAATCCATGCCTCACAAAGAAGTTTCTCAGAATGCTTCTCTGTAGTTTTTATGTGAAGATATTTCCTTTTTCACAATAGGCCTCAAGCTTTCCAAATATCCACTTGCAGATTCCGCAAAAAGAGAGATACAAAAGTGCTCTATCAAAAGATAGGTTCGACTCTGGGAGTTCAATGCAAACATCACAAAGAAGTTTCTCAGAATGCTTCTGTGTAGATTTTATGTGAAGATGTTTTGTTTTCTACCATAGGGCAAAATGGGGCTCCAAATATCTACTTGCATTTTCTACAAAAAGAGAGATTCTAAGCTGCTCAATCAAAAGATACGTTCAACACTGTTAGTTGAATGCACACATGCCAAAGAAGTTTCTCAGAATGCTTCTGTGTAGTTTTTATGTGAAGATATTTGCTTTTCCACAATAGGCCTCAAATCGTTCTAAATATCCACTTGCAGGCTCTACAAAAAGAGTGTTTCCAAATTGCTCAATCATAAGGTAGGTTCAACTCTGAGAGTTGAATGCACACATCATAAAGAAGTTTCTCAGAATGGTTCTGTGTAGTTTTACTTTGAAGATATTTCATTTTCCAAATCAGGCCCCAAAGCTCTCCAAATATCCACTTGGTGATTCTGCAAAAGGAGCGTTTCAATACTGCTCAATAAAAAGAAAGGCTTCAACTTCTGTGTGAGGAATGCATTCATCACAAAGAAGTTTCTCTGAATGCTTCTTTGTAGTTTTTATATGAAGATATTTCCCTTTCCACCACAGGGTGCAAAGAGCTCCAAATATCCACTTGCAGATTCCACAAAAAAAGAGATATGAAAGTGCTCCATGGAAAGATAAGTTCAACTCTGTGAGTTGAATGCACACCTCACAAAGAAGTATCTCAAAATGCTTCTGCGTAGTTTTTATGTGAAGATATTTCCTTTTCCAAGTAGGCCTCAACGTTCTCCAGATATCCACTCGCAGATTCTGCAAAAAGAGAGACTCAAAACTGCTGAATCAAAAGATAGTTTCAACTCTGTGACTTCATTGCACACCTCACAAAGATGTTTCTCAGAATGCTTCTGTGCAGTTTTTATATAAAGATATCTCCTTCTCCAAAATAGATCTCAAAGTTATCCAAGTATTCACTTCCAGATTCTATGGAAAGATTATCTCAAAACTGCTCAATCAAACCAAAGGTTCAACTCTGTGAGATAAATGCACACATCACAAAGAAGTTTCTCAGAATACTTCCGTGTAGTTTTTATTTGAGGATAGTTCCTTTTCCACCACAGACCACAAAGGGCTCCAAATATCCATTGCAGATGGTACAAACAGAGAGACTCGAAACTGCTCAATCAAAAGGTAGTTTCAACCATGTGATATGAATGCACACAGCACAGAGAATTTTCTCAAAATGCTTCTGTCTAGTTTTTATTTGAAGATATATCCTTTTCTACCATAGGCCACAAACGTCTCCAAATATCCACATGCAGCTTCTACAAAAAGAGAGATTCAAGACTTCTCCATCAAAAGATAGGTTCAACTCTGTGAGTTGAATGCACACCTCACAAAGAAGTTTCTCAGAGTGCTTCTGTGTGTTTTTATGTGAACATATTCCCTTTTCCACAATAGGCCTCAAAGCTCTCCAAATATCTGCAAGCAGAGTCTACAAAAAGAGAGATTCAAAACTGCTCAATGAAAAGATAGGTTCAACTCTGTGAGTTGAATGCACACCTCCAAAGAAGTTTCTCAGAATGCTTCCGTGTAGTTTCTATGTGAAGATATTTACTTTTCCACAATTGTCCCAAAGCTCTAAAATATCCACTTGCAGACCCTCTGAAAGAGTGTTTCAGAATTGCTCAATCAAAGGAGAGGTTCAATTCTGTGTGACCAATGCACTCATCACCAAGAAGTTTGTCTGAATGCTTTCTGTGTAGAATTGATTTGAAGATAATTCCTTTTCCACCACAGTCCGCAAAGGGCTAAAAATATCCACTTGCCGATTCCACAAAAAGAGAGATTCAAAACTGCTCAATCACAAGATAGGTTCAACTTGGTGATTTGAAAGCACACATGACAAACAATTTCTGAGAATGTTTGTGTTGTTTTTAAGGGAAGATATTTGATTTTCAAATGTAGGCCTCAAATCGCTCCAAATATGCACTTGCAGATTGTACAAAAAGAGAGTTTCAAAACTGGTCACTCAAAAGATAGGTCCAGCTCTGTGAGTTGAATGCAAACCTCACAAAGATGTTTCTCAGAAGGCTTCTGTATAATTTTTATATGAAGATATTTGCTTTTCCACAATATGCCTCAAATCTCCCCAATTATCCACTTGCAGATTCTACAAAAAGAGTGTTTCAAAACTGCTCAATCAAAATACACTTTCAACTCTGTGAGATCAATGCACACATCACAAAGAAGTTTCTCAGAATGCTTCTGTATAGTTTTTATCTGAAGTTATTTGCTTTCCCACGATAGGCCTCAAAGCACACCAAATATCCACTTGCAGATCCTATGAAAAGAGTGTTCCAAAACTGGTCAGTCATAAGATAGGTTTAATTCTGTGAGTTGAATGCACAATCACAAAGAAGTTTCTCAGAATGCCTCTGTGTGCTTTTCATTTGAAGGTATTTCCTTTTCCACCATAGGCCGCAAAGGGCTCCAAATATCCCCTTGCAGATTCTGCAAAATGAGAGATTCAAAACTGCTCAATCAAAAGATAGGTTCAACTCTGTGAGTTGAATGCTCACATAACAAAGAAGTTTCTCACAGTATTTCTGTGTAGTTTTTATTTGAAGATATTTCCTTTTCCACCATAGGCCGCAAAGGGCTCCAAATATCCACTTGCAGATTGTATAAAAAGAGAGATTCAAAACTGGTCACTCGAAGGATCGGTTCAGCTCTGTGAGGTGAATGCACACATCAAAAAGAAGTTTCTTAGAGTGCCTCTATGTAGATTTTATGTGAAGATATTTGCTTTTCCACTTTAGGTCTCAAAGCGCTCCAAATATCCACGTGCAGATTCTAAAAAAAGAGAGATTCTAAGCTACTCCATCAAAAGATAGGTTCAGCTCTGTGAGTTGAATTCACACATCACAAAGAAGTTTCTAGGAGTGCTTCTGTGTAGTTGTTATGTGAAGATATTTGCTTTTCCACAGTAGGCCTCAAATCGCTCTACATATCCACTTGCAGTTTCTACAAAAAAGAGTGTTTCCAAACTGCTCCATCATAAGACACGTTGAACTCTGAGAGTTGAATGCACACATCACAAAGAAGCTTCTCAGAATGCTTCTGTGTGGTTTTAATTTGAAGATATTTGCTTTTCCAAAACAGGCCTCAAGCTTTCCAAATATCCACTTGCAGATTCCGCAAAAAGAGAGATACAAAAGTGCTCTATCAAAAGATAGGTTCGACTCTGGGAGTTCAATGCAAACATCACAAAGAAGTTTCTCAGAATGCTTCTGTGTAGATTTTATGTGAAGATGTTTTGTTTTCTACCATAGGGCAAAATGGGGCTCCAAATATCTACTTGCATTTTCTACAAAAAGAGAGATTCTAAGCTGCTCAATCAAAAGATACGTTCAACACTGTTAGTTGAATGCACACATGCCAAAGAAGTTTCTCAGAATGCTTCTGTGTAGTTTTTATGTGAAGATATTTGCTTTTCCACAATAGGCCTCAAATCGTTCTAAATATCCACTTGCAGGCTCTACAAAAAGAGTGTTTCCAAATTGCTCAATCATAAGGTAGCTTCAACTCTGAGAGTTGAATGCTCACATCATGAAGAAGTTTCTCAGAATGGTTCTGTGTAGTTTTACTTTGAAGATATTTCATTTTCCAAAACAGGCCCCAAAGCTCTCCAAATATCTACTTGGTGATTCTGCAAAAAGAGCGTTTCAATACTGCTCAATAAAAAGAAACGTTCAGCTCTGTGTGAGGAATGCATTCATCACAAAGAAGTTTCTCTGAATGCTTCTTTGTAGTTTTTATATGAAGATATTTCCCTTTCCACCACAGGGTGCAAAGAGCTCCAAATATCCACTTGCAGATTCCACAAAAAAAGAGATATGAAAGTGCTCCATGGAAAGATAAGTTCAACTCTGTGAGTTGAATGCACACCTCACAAAGAAGTATCTCAAAATGCTTCTGCATAGTTTATATGTGAAGATATTTCCTTTTCCAAATAGGCCTCCAAGTTCTCCAGATATCCACTCGCAGATTCTGCAAAAAGAGAGACTCAAAACTGCTGAATCAAAACATAGTTTCAACTCTGTGACTTCATTGCACACCTCACAAAGATGTTTCTCAGAATGCTTCTGTGCAGTTTTCATATAAAGATATCTCCTTCTCCAAAATAGATCTCAAGGTTCTCCAAATATTCACTTCCAGATTCTATGGAAAGATTGTCTCAAAACTGCTCAATCAAACCAAAGGTTCAACCCTGTGAGATGAATGCACACATCACAAGGAAGTTTCTCGGAATACTTCTGTGTAGTTTTTATTTGAGGATAGTTCCTTTTCCACCACAGACCACAAAGGGCTCCAAATATCCATTGCAGATGTTACAAAAAGAGAGATTCAAAACTGCTCAACCAAAAGGTAGTTTCAACCATGTGATATGAATGCACACAGCACAGAGAAATTTCTCAAAATGCTTCTGTCTAGTTTTTATTTGAAGATATTGCCTTTTCTACCATAGGCCACAAACGTCTCCAAATATCCACATGCAGCTTCTACAAAAAGAGAGATTCAACGCTTCTCAATCAAAAGATAGGTTCAACTCTGTGAGTTGAATGCACACTTCACAAAGAAGTTTCTCAGAGTGCTTCTGTGTGTTTTTATGTGAACATATTCCCTTTTCCACAATAGGCCTCAAAGCTCTCCAAATATCTGCAAGCAGAGTCTACAAAAAGAGAGATTCAAAACTGCTCAATGAAAAGATAGGTTCAACTCTGTGAGTTGAATGCACACCTCCAAAGAAGTTTCTCAGAATGCTTCCGTGTAGTTTTTATGTGAAGATATTTACTTTTCCACAATTGTCCCAAAGCTCTAAAATATCCACTTGCAGACCCTCTGAAAGAGTGTTTCAGAATTGCTCAATCAAAGGAGAGGTTCAATTCTGTGTGACCAATGCACTCATCACAAAAAGTTTGTCTGAATGCTTCTGTGTAGAATGGATTTGAAGATAATTCCTTTTCCACCACAGTCCGCAAATGGCTAAAAATATCCACTTGCAGATTCCACAAAAAGAGAGATTCAAAACTGCTCAATCACAAGGTAGGTTCAACTTGGTAATTTGAAAGCACACATGACAAACAATTTCTGAGAATGTTTCTGTGTAGCTTTTAAGGGAAGATATTTGATTTTCAAATGTAGGCCTCAAAACGCTCCAAATATCCACTTGCAGATTGTACAAAAAGAGAGATTCAAAACTGGTCACTCAAAAGATAGTTCCAGCTCTGTGAGTTGAATGCAAACCTCACAAAGATGTTTCTCAGAAAGCTTCTGTATAGTTTTTATATGAAGATATTTGCTTTTCCACAACATACCTCAAATCTCTCCAATTATCCACTTGCAGATTCTACAGAAGGAGTGTTTTAAAACTGCTCAATCAAAATACACTTTCAACTCTGTGAGATCAATGCACACATCACAAAGAAGTTTCTCAGAATGCTTCTGTATAGTTTTTATCTGAAGTTATTTGCTTTTCCACGATAGGCCTCAAAGCACGCCAAATATCCACTTGCAGATCCTATGAAAAGAGTGTTCCAAAACTGGTCAATCATAAGATAGGTTTAACTCTGTGAGTTGAATGCACAATCACGAGGAAGTTTCTCAGAATGCCTCTGTGTAGTTTTTATTTGGAGGTATTTCCTTTTCCACCCTAGGTAGCAAAGGGCTCCAAATATCCCCTTGCAGATTCTGCAAAATGAGAGATTCAAAACTGCTCAATCAAAAGATAGGTTCAGCTCTGTGAGTTGAATGCTCACATAACAAAGAAGTTTCTCACAGTATTTCTGTGTAGTTTTTATTTGAAGATATTTCCTTTTCCACCATAGGCCGCAAAGGGCTCCAAATATCCACTTGCAGATTGTATAAAAAGA
The DNA here is from genome assembly GCF_000001405.40 of Homo sapiens. NCBI lineage: Eukaryota > Metazoa > Chordata > Mammalia > Primates > Hominidae > Homo > Homo sapiens. Next base: position 17,460,670 of record NC_000015.10, on the reverse strand, counting down.
GAGATTCAAAACTGGTCACTCGAAGGATCGGTTCAGCTCTGTGAGGTGAATGCACACATCAAAAAGAAGTTTCTTAGAGTGCCTCTATGTAGATTTTATGTGAAGATATTTGCTTTTCCACTTTAGGTCTCAAAGCGCTCCAAATATCCACGTGCAGATTCTAAAAAAAGAGAGATTCTAAGCTACTCCATCAAAAGATAGGTTCAGCTCTGTGAGTTGAATTCACACATCACAAAGAAGTTTCTAGGAGTGCTTCTGTGTAGTTGTTATGTGAAGATATTTGCTTTTCCACAGTAGGCCTCAAATCGCTCTACATATCCACTTGCAGTTTCTACAAAAAAGAGTGTTTCCAAACTGCTCCATCATAAGACACGTTGAACTCTGAGAGTTGAATGCACACATCACAAAGAAGCTTCTCAGAATGCTTCTGTGTGGTTTTAATTTGAAGATATTTGCTTTTCCAAAACAGGCCTCAAAGCTCTCCAAATATCCACCTGGTTATTCTGCAAAAAGAGGGTTTCAATACTACTCAATAAAAAGGAAGATTCAACTCTGTGTGAGGAACGCATTCATCACAAAGAAGTCTTTCTGAATGCTTCTGTGTAGCTTTTATATGAAGATATTTCCTTTTACACCACAGGGTGCAAACAGCTCCAAACTTCCACTTGCAGATTCTACAAAAAGACGTATTCAAAACTGTACAATCAAAAGATAGTGTCAACTGTGCATGTTCAATGCACACATCACAAAGGACTTTCTCTGAATGCTTCTCTGTAGGGTTTGTTTATGTGAAGATATTTGCTTTTCCACTATAGGGTAAAACAGGGCTCCAAGTATCAACTTGCAGATTCTGCAAAAAGGAGATTCAAAACAGCTAAATCCAAAGATTACTTCAACTATGTGAGTTGAATGCACACACAAAAAAGAAGTTTCTCAGAATGCCTCTGTGTAGTTTTTATGTGAAGATATTTGATTTTCCACATTAGGCCTCAAAGCGCTCCAAATATCCACTTGCAGATTCTAGAAAAAGAGTGTTTCAAAACTGCCCTATCAAAAGAAACGTCCAACACTGTGAGATGAATGCACACATCACAAAGAAGTTTCTCAGAATGCTTCTTTGTAGTTTTTATGTGAAGATATTCCCTTTTCCAAAGAAGGCCACAAAGTACTCCCAATATCCACTTGCAGGTTCTACAAAATGAGTGTTTCAAAACCGCTCAATCATTAGATAGGTTCAACTCTGTGAGACGAATGCACACATCACAAAGAAGTTTTACGGAATGCTTCTATATAGTTTTTATTTGAAGGTATTTCCTTTTCCACCCTAGGTTGCAAAGGGCTCCAAATATCCACTTGCAGATTCGACAAAAAGAGAGATTCAAAACTGCTCAATGATAAGTCCAACTGCTGTGGGTTGAATCCATGCCTCACAAAGAAGTTTCTCAGAATGCTTCTTTGTAGTTTTTATGTGAAGATATTTCCTTTTTCACAATAAGCCTCATGCTTTCCAAATATCCACTTGCAGATTCTGCAAAAAAAGGGATACAAAACTGCTCTATCAAAAGATAGGTTCGACTCTGTGAGTTCAATGCAAACATCACAAAGAAGTATCTCAGAATGCTTCTGTGTAGTTTTTATGTGAACATGTTTTGTTTTCTACCACAGGGCGAAATGGGGCTCCAAATATCTACTTGCATTTTCTACAAAGAGAGAGATTCTAAGCTGCTCAATCAAAAGATATGTTCAACACTGTTAGTTGAATGTACACATCACAAAGAAGTTTCACAGAATGTTTCTGTGTGGTTTTTATTTGAAGATATTTCCTTTTCCACCAAAGGCCGCAAATGGCTCCAAATATCCACTTGCAGATTGTACAAAAAGTGAGATGCAAAACTGGTCACTCAAAAGACAGGTTCAGCTCTGTGAGTTGAATGCACACATCAAAAAGAAGTTTCTTAGAGTGCCTCTATGTAGATTTTATATGAAGATATTTTCTTTTCCACTTTAGGTCTCAAAGCGCTCCAAATATCGACTTGCAGATTCTAAAAAAAGAGAGATTCTAAGCTACTCCATCAAAAGATAGGTTCAGCTCTGTGAGTGGAATTCACACATCACAAAGAAGTTTCTAGGAGTGCTTCTGTGTAGTTGTTATGGGAAGATATTTGCTTTTCCACAGTAGGCCTCAAATCGCTCTAAATATCCACTTGCAGTTTCTACAAAAAGAGTGTTTCCAAACTGCTCCATCATAAGATACGTTCAACTCTGAGAGTTGAATGCACACATCCCAAAGAAGTTTCTCAGAATGCTTCTGTGTAGTTTTTATGTGAAGATATTTGCTTTTCCACAATAGGCCTCAAATCGTTCTAAATATCCACTTGCAGGCTCTACAAAAAGAGTGTTTCCAAATTGCTCAATCATAAGATAGGTTCAACTCTGAGAGTTGAATGAACACATCTTAAAGAAGTTTTTCAGAATGGTTCTGTGTAGTTTTACTTTGAAGATATTTCATTTTCCAAAACAGGCCCCAAAGCTCTCCAAATATCCACTTGGTGATTCTTCAAAAAGATCGTTTAAAAACTGCTCAATAAAACGAAAGGTTCAGCTCTGTGTGAGGAATGCATTCATCACAAGAAGTTTCTCTGAATGCTTCTTTGTAGTTTTTATATGAAGATATTTCCCTTTCCACCACAGGGTGCAAAGAGCTCCAAATATCCACTTGCAGATTCCACAAAAAAAGAGATATGAAAGTGCTCCATGGAAAGATAAGTTCAACTCTGTGAGTTGAATGCACACCTCACAAAGAAGTATCTCAAAATGCTTCTGCGTAGTTTTTATGTGAAGATATTTCCTTTTCCAAGTAGGCCTCAACGTTCTCCAGATATCCACTCGCAGATTCTGCAAAAAGAGAGACTCAAAACTGCTGAATCAAAAGATAGTTTCAACTCTGTGACTTCATTGCACACCTCACAAAGATGTTTCTCAGAATGCTTCTGTGCAGTTTTTATATAAAGATATCTCCTTCTCCAAAATAGATCTCAAAGTTATCCAAGTATTCACTTCCAGATTCTATGGAAAGATTATCTCAAAACTGCTCAATCAAACCAAAGGTTCAACTCTGTGAGATAAATGCACACATCACAAAGAAGTTTCTCAGAATACTTCCGTGTAGTTTTTATTTGAGGATAGTTCCTTTTCCACCACAGACCACAAAGGGCTCCAAATATCCATTGCAGATGGTACAAACAGAGAGACTCGAAACTGCTCAATCAAAAGGTAGTTTCAACCATGTGATATGAATGCACACAGCACAGAGAATTTTCTCAAAATGCTTCTGTCTAGTTTTTATTTGAAGATATTGCCTTTTCTACCATAGGCCACAAACGTCTCCAAATATCCACATGCAGCTTCTACAAAAAGAGAGATTCAAAGCTTCTCAATCAAAAGATAGGTTCAACTCTGTGAGTTGAATGCACACTTCACAAAGAAGTTTCTCAGAGTGCTTCTGTGTGTTTTTATGTGAAGATGATTCCTTTTCCACAATAGGCCTCAAAGCTCTCCAAGTATCTGCAAGCAGAGTCTACAAAAAGAGAGATTCAAAACTGCTCAATGAAAAGATAGGTTCAACTCTGTGAGTTGAATGCACACCTCCAAAGAAGTTTCTCAGAATGCTTCCGTGTAGTTTTTATGTGAAGATATTTACTTTTCCACAATTGTCCCAAAGCTCTAAAATATCCACTTGCAGACCCTCTGAAAGAGTGTTTCAGAATTGCTCAATCAAAGGAGAGGTTCAATTCTGTGTGACCAATGCACTCATCACCAAGAAGTTTGTCTGAATGCTTCTGTGTAGAATGGATTTGAAGATAATTCCTTTTCCACCACAGTCCGCAAAGGGCTAAAAATATCCATTTGCAGATTCCACAAAAAGAGAGATTCAGAACTGCTCAATCACAAGATAGGTTCAACTTGGTAATTTGAAAGCCCACATGACAAACAATTTCTGAGAATGTTTCTGTGTAGGTTTTGAGGGAAGATATTTGATTTTCAAATGTAGGCCTCAAATCGCTCCAAATATCCACTTGCAGATTGAACAAAAAGAGAGATTCAAAACTGGTCACTCAAGAGATAGGTCCAGCTCTGTGAGTTGAATGCAAACCTCACAAAGATGTTTCTCAGAAGGCTTCTGTATAGTTTTTATATGAAGATACTTGCTTTTCCACAATATACCTCAAATCTCCCCAATTATCCACTTGCAGATTCTACAAAAAGAGTGTTTCAAAACTGCTCAATCAAAATACACTTTCAACTCTGTGAGATCAATGCACACATCACAAAGAAGTTTCTCAGAATGCTTCTGTATAGTTTTTATCTGAAGTTATTTGCTTTTCCACGATAGGCCTCAAAGCACGCCAAATATCCACTTGCAGATCCTATGAAAAGAGTGTTCCAAAACTGGTCAATCATAAGATAGGTTTAACTCTGTGAGTTGAATGCACAATCACGAGGAAGTTTCTCAGAATGCCTCTGTGTGCTTTTCATTTGAAGGTATTTCCTTTTCCACCATAGGCCGCAAAGGGCTCCAAATATCCCCTTGCAGATTCTGCAAAATGAGAGATTCAAAACTGCTCAATCAAAAGATAGGTTCAACTCTGTGAGTTGAATGCTCACATAACAAAGAAGTTTCTCACAGTATTTCTGTGTAGTTTTTATTTGAAGATATTTCCTTTTCCACCATAGGCCGCAAAGGGCTCCAAATATCCACTTGCAGATTGTATAAAAAGAGAGATTCAAAACTGGTCACTCAAAGGATCGGTTCAGCTCTGTGAGGTGAATGCACACATCAAAAAGAAGTTTCTTAGAGTGCCTCTATGTAGATTTTATGTGAAGATATTTGCTTTTCCACTTTAGGTCTCAAAGCGCTCCAAATATCCACGTGCAGATTCTAAAAAAAGAGAGATTCTAAGCTACTCCATCAAAAGATAGGTTCAGCTCTGTGAGTTGAATTCACACATCACAAAGAAGTTTCTAGGAGTGCTTCTGTGTAGTTGTTATGTGAAGATATTTGCTTTTCCACAGTAGGCCTCAAATCGCTCTACATATCCACTTGCAGTTTCTACAAAAAGAGTGTTTCCAAACTGCTCCATCATAAGACACGTTCAACTCTGAGAGTTGAATGCACACATCACAAAGAAGCTTCTCAGAATGCTTCTGTGTGGTTTTAATTTGAAGATATTTCCTTTTCCAAAACAGGCCTCAAAGCTCTCCAAATATCCACCTGGTTATTCTGCAAAAAGAGGGTTTCAATACTACTCAATAAAAAGGAAGATTCAACTCTGTGTGAGGAACGCATTCATCACAAAGAAGTCTTTCTGAATGCTTCTGTGTAGCTTTTATATGAAGATATTTCCTTTTACACCACAGGGTGCAAACAGCTCCAAACTTCCACTTGCAGATTCTACAAAAAGACGTATTCAAAACTGTACAATCAAAAGATAGTGTCAACTCTGCATGTTCAATGCACACATCACAAAGGACTTTCTCTGAATGCTTCTCTGTAGGGTTTGTTTATGTGAAGATATTTGCTTTTCCACTATAGGGTGAAACAGGGCTCCAAGTATCAACTTGCAGATTCTGCAAAAAGGAGATTCAAAACAGCTAAATCCAAAGATTACTTCAACTATGTGAGTTGAATGCACACACAAAAAAGAAGTTTCTCAGAATGCCTCTGTGTAGTTTTTATGTGAAGATATTTGATTTTCCACATTAGGCCTCAAAGCGCTCCAAATATCCACTTGCAGACTCTACAAGAAGACTCTTTCGAAACTGCCCCATCAAAAGAAACGTCCAACACTGTGAGATGCATGCACACATCACAAAGAAGTTTCTCAGAATGCTTCTTTGTAGTTTTCATGTGAAGATATTTCCTTTTCCAAAGAAGGCCACAAACTACTCCCAATATCCACTTCCAGGTTCTACAAAATGAGTGTTTCAAAACTGCTCAATCATTAGATAGGTTCAACTCTGTGAGATGAATGCACACATCACAAAGAAGTTTTTCGGAATGCTTCTATATAGTTTTTATGTGAAGGTGTTTCCTTTTCCACCATAGGTTGCAAAAGGGCTCCAAATATCCACTTGCAGATTCGACCAAAAGAGAGATTCAAAACTGCTCAATGATAAGTCCAACTCTGTGGGTTGAATCCATGCCTCACAGAGAAGTTTACTCAGAATGCTTCTCTGTAGTTTTTATGTGAAGATATTTCCTTTTTCACAATAGGCCTCAAGCTTTCCAAATATCCACTTGCAGATTCCGCAAAAAGAGAGATACAAAAGTGCTCTATCAAAAGATAGGTTCGACTCTGGGAGTTCAATGCAAACATCACAAAGAAGTTTCTCAGAATGCTTCTGTGTAGTTTTTATGTGAAGATGTTCTGTTTTCTACCATAGGGCAAAATGGGGCTCCAAATATCTACTTGCATTTTCTACAAAAAGAGAGATTCTAAGCTGCTCAATCAAAAGATACGTTCAACACTGTTAGTTGAATGCACACATGCCAAAGAAGTTTCTCAGAATGCTTCTGTGTAGTTTTTATGTGAAGATATTTGCTTTTCCACAATAGGCCTCAAATCGTTCTAAATATCCACTTGCAGGCTCTACAAAAAGAGTGTTTCCAAATTGCTCAATCATAAGGTAGGTTCAACTCTGAGAGTTGAATGCACACATCATAAAGAAGTTTCTCAGAATGGTTCTGTGTAGTTTTACTTTGAAGATATTTCATTTTCCAAAACAGGCCCCAAAGCTCTCCAAATATCCACTTGGTGATTCTGCAAAAAGAGCGTTCGTTACTGCTCAATAAAAAGAAAGGTTCAGCTCTGTGTGAGGAATGCATTCATCACAAGAAGTTTCTCTGAATGCTTCTTTGTAGTTTTTATATGAAGATAGTTCCCTTTCCACCACAGGGTGCAAAGAGCTCCAAATATCCACTTGCAGATTCTACAGAAAATGAGATATGAAAGTGCTCAAGGAAAAGATAAGTTCAACTCTGTGAGTTGCATGCACACCTCACAAAGAAGAATCTCAAAATGCTTCTGCATAGTTTATATGTGAAGATATTTCCTTTTCCAAATAGGCCTCCAAGTTCTCCAGATATCCACTCGCAGATTCTGCAAAAAGAGAGACTCAAAACTGCTGAATCAAAACATAGTTTCAACTCTGTGACTTCATTGCACACCTCACAAAGATGTTTCTCAGAATGCTTCTGTGCAGTTTTTATATAAAGATATCTCCTTCTCCAAAATAGATCTCAAGGTTCTCCAAATATTCACTTCCAGATTCTATGGAAAGATTGTCTCAAAACTGCTCAATCAAACCAAAGGTTCAACCCTATGAGATGAATGCACACATCACAAGGAAGTTTCTCGGAATACTTCTGTGTAGTTTTTATTTGAGGATAGTTCCTTTTCCACCACAGACCACAAAGGGCTCCAAATATCCATTGCAGATGGTACAAAAAGAGAGATTCAAAACTGCTCAATCAAAAGGTAGTTTCAACCATGTGATATGAATGCACACAGCACAGAGAAATTTCTCAAAATGCTTCTGTCTAGTTTTTATTTGAAGATATTGCCTTTTCTACCATAGGCCACAAACGTCTCCAAATATCCACATGCAGCTTCTACAAAAAGAGAGATTCAAAGCTTCTCAATCAAAAGATAGGTTCAACTCTGTGAGTTGAATGCACACTTCACAAAGAAGTTTCTCAGAGTGCTTCTGTGTGTTTTTATGTGAAGATGATTCCTTTTCCACAATAGGCCTCAAAGCTCTCCAAGTATCTGCAAGCAGAGTCTACAAAAAGAGAGATTCAAAACTGCTCAATGAAAAGATAGGTTCAACTCTGTGAGTTGAATGCACACCTCCAAAGAAGTTTCTCAGAATGCTTCCGTGTAGTTTCTATGTGAAGATATTTACTTTTCCACAATTGTCCCAAAGCTCTAAAATATCCACTTGCAGACCCTCTGAAAGAGTGTTTCAGAATTGCTCAATCAAAGGAGAGGTTCAATTCTGTGTGACCAATGCACTCATCACAAAAAGTTTGTCTGAATGCTTCTGTGTAGAATGGATTTGAAGATAATTCCTTTTCCACCACAGTCCGCAAATGGCTAAAAATATCCACTTGCAGATTCCACAAAAAGAGAGATTCAAAACTGCTCAATCACAAGGTAGGTTCAACTTGGTAATTTGAAAGCACACATGACAAACAATTTCTGAGAATGTTTCTGTGTAGCTTTTAAGGGAAGATATTTGATTTTCAAATGTAGGCCTCAAAACGCTCCAAATATCCACTTGCAGATTGTACAAAAAGAGAGATTCAAAACTGGTCACTCAAAAGATAGTTCCAGCTCTGTGAGTTGAATGCAAACCTCACAAAGAGGTTTCTCAGAAAGCTTCTGTATAGTTTTTATATGAAGATACTTGCTTTTCCACAATATACCTCAAATCTCCCCAATTATCCACTTGCAGATTCTACAAAAAGAGTGTTTCAAAACTGCTCAATCAAAATACACTTTCAACTCTGTGAGATCAATGCACACATCACAAAGAAGTTTCTCAGAATGCTTCTGTATAGTTTTTATCTGAAGTTATTTGCTTTTCCACGATAGGCCTCAAAGCACGCCAAATATCCACTTGCAGATCCTATGAAAAGAGTGTTCCAAAACTGGTCAATCATAAGATAGGTTTAACTCTGTGAGTTGAATGCACAATCACGAGGAAGTTTCTCAGAATGCCTCTGTGTGCTTTTCATTTGAAGGTATTTCCTTTTCCACCATAGGCCGCAAAGGGCTCCAAATATCCCCTTGCAGATTCTGCAAAATGAGAGATTCAAAACTGCTCAATCAAAAGATAGGTTCAACTCTGTGAGTTGAATGCTCACATAACAAAGAAGTTTCTTCTGTGTAGTTTTTATTTGAAGATATTTCCTTTTCCACCATAGGCCGCAAAGGGCTCCAAATATCCACTTGCAGATTGTATAAAAAGAGAGATTCAAAACTGGTCACTCGAAGGATCGGTTCAGCTCTGTGAGGTGAATGCACACATCAAAAAGAAGTTTCTTAGAGTGCCTCTATGTAGATTTTATGTGAAGATATTTGCTTTTCCACTTTAGGTCTCAAAGCGCTCCAAATATCCACGTGCAGATTCTAAAAAAAGAGAGATTCTAAGCTACTCCATCAAAAGATAGGTTCAGCTCTGTGAGTTGAATTCACACATCACAAAGAAGTTTCTAGGAGTGCTTCTGTGTAGTTGTTATGTGAAGATATTTGCTTTTCCACAGTAGGCCTCAAATCGCTCTACATATCCACTTGCAGTTTCTACAAAAAAGAGTGTTTCCAAACTGCTCCATCATAAGACACGTTGAACTCTGAGAGTTGAATGCACACATCACAAAGAAGCTTCTCAGAATGCTTCTGTGTGGTTTTAATTTGAAGATATTTGCTTTTCCAAAACAGGCCTCAAAGCTCTCCAAATATCCACCTGGTTATTCTGCAAAAAGAGGGTTTCAATACTACTCAATAAAAAGGAAGATTCAACTCTGTGTGAGGAACGCATTCATCACAAAGAAGTCTTTCTGAATGCTTCTGTGTAGCTTTTATATGAAGATATTTCCTTTTACACCACAGGGTGCAAACAGCTCCAAACTTCCACTTGCAGATTCTACAAAAAGACGTATTCAAAACTGTACAATCAAAAGATAGTGTCAACTCTGCATGTTCAATGCACACATCACAAAGGACTTTCTCTGAATGCTTCTCTGTAGGGTTTGTTTATGTGAAGATATTTGCTTTTCCACTATAGGGTGAAACAGGGCTCCAAGTATCAACTTGCAGATTCTGCAAAAAGGAGATTCAAAACAGCTAAATCCAAAGATTACTTCAACTATGTGAGTTGAATGCACACACAAAAAAGAAGTTTCTCAGAATGCCTCTGTGTAGTTTTTATGTGAAGATATTTGATTTTCCACATTAGGCCTCAAAGCGCTCCAAATATCCACTTGCAGATTCTAAAAAAAGAGTGTTTCAAAACTGCCCTATCAAAAGAAACGTCCAACACTGTGAGATGAATGCGCACATCACAAAGAAGTTTCTCAGAATGCTTCTTTGTAGTTTTTATGTGAAGATATTCCCTTTTCCAAAGAAGGCCACAAAGTACTCCCAATATCCACTTGCAGGTTCTACAAAATGAGTGTTTCAAAACCGCTCAATCATTAGATAGGTTCAACTCTGTGAGACGAATGCACACATCACAAAGAAGTTTTACGGAATGCTTCTATATAGTTTTTATTTGAAGGTATTTCCTTTTCCACCCTAGGTTGCAAAGGGCTCCAAATATCCACTTGCAGATTCGACAAAAAGAGAGATTCAAAACTGCTCAATGATAAGTCCAACTCTGTGGGTTGAATCCATGCCTCACAAAGAAGTTTCTCAGAATGCTTCTCTGTAGTTTTTATGTGAAGATATTTCCTTTTTCACAATAGGCCTCAAGCTTTCCAAATATCCACTTGCAGATTCCGCAAAAAGAGAGATACAAAAGTGCTCTATCAAAAGATAGGTTCGACTCTGGGAGTTCAATGCAAACATCACAAAGAAGTTTCTCAGAATGCTTCTGCGTAGTTTTTATGTGAAGATGTTCTGTTTTCTACCATAGGGCGAAATGGGGCTCCAAATCTCTACTTGCATTTTCTACAAAAGGAGAGATTCTAAGCTGCTCAATCAAAAGATAGGTTCAACACTGTTAGTTGAATGCACACATCCCAAAGAAGTCTCTGAGAATGCTTCTGTGTAGTTTTTATGTGAAGATATTTGCTTTTCCACAATAGGCCTCAAATCGTTCTAAATATCCACTTGCAGGCTCTACAAAAAGAGTGTTTCCAAATTGGTCAATCATAAGGTAGGTTCAACTCTGAGAGTTGAATGCACACATCATAAAGAAGTTTCTCAGAATGGTTCTGTGTAGTTTTACTTTGAAGATATTTCATTTTCCAAAACAGGCCCCAAAGCTCTCCAAATATCCACTTGGTGATTCTGCAAAAAGAGCGTTTCAATACTGCTCAATAAAAAGAAACGTTCAGCTCTGTGTGAGGAATGCATTCATCACAAAGAAGTTTCTCTGAATGCTTCTTTGTAGTTTTTATATGAAAATAGTTCCCTTTCCACCACAGGGTGCAAAGAGCTCCAAATATCCACTTGCAGATTCTACAGAAAATGAGATATGAAAGTGCTCAAGGAAAAGATAAGTTCAACTCTGTGAGTTGCATGCACACCTCACAAAGAAGAATCTCAAAATGCTTCTGCATAGTTTATATGTGAAGATATTTCCTTTTCCAAATAGGCCTCCAAGTTCTCCAGATATCCACTCGCAGATTCTGTAAAAAGAGAGACTCAAAACTGCTGAATCAAAACATAGTTTCAACTCTGTGACTTCATTGCACACCTCACAAAGATGTTTCTCAGAATGCTTCTGTGCAGTTTTTATATAAAGATATCTCCTTCTCCAAAATAGATCTCAAGGTTCTCCAAATATTCACTTCCAGATTCTATGGAAAGATTGTCTCAAAACTGCTCAATCAAACCAAAGGTTCAACCCTATGAGATGAATGCACACATCACAAGGAAGTTTCTCGGAATACTTCTGTGTAGTTTTTATTTGAGGATAGTTCCTTTTCCACCACAGACCACAAAGGGCTCCAAATATCCATTGCAGATGGTACAAAAAGAGAGATTCAAAACTGCTCAATCAAAAGGTAGTTTCAACCATGTGATATGAATGCACACAGCACAGAGAAATTTCTCAAAATGCTTCTGTCTAGTTTTTATTTCAAGGTATTTCCTTTTCCACCATAGGCCACAAACGTCTCCAAATATCCACATACAGCTTCTACAAAAAGAGAGATTCAAAACTTCTCAATCAAAAGATAGGTTCAATTTCTGTGGTTGAATGCACACCTCACAAAGAAGTTTCTCAGAATGCTTCTGTACGTTTTTATGTGAAGATATTTCCTTTTCCACAATAGGCCTCAAAGCTCTCCAAATATCCGCAAGCAGAGTCTACAAAAAGAGAGATTCAAAACTGCTCAATGAAAAGATAGGTTCAACTCTGAGTTGAATGCACATCTCACAAAGAAGTTTCTCAGAATGCTTCTGTGTAGTTTTTATGTGAAGATATTTACTTTTCCACAATTGTCCCAAAGCTCTAAAATATCCACTTGCAGACCCTCTAAAAGAGTGTTTCAGAGTTGCTCAATCAAAGGAAAGGATCAACTCTGTGTGACGAATGCACTCATCACAAAGAAGTTTGTCTGAATGCTACTGTGTAGAATTGATTTCAAGATCATTCCTTTTCCACCACAGTCTGCAAAGGACTAAAAATATCCACTTGCAGATTCTACAAAAAGAGAGATTCAAAACTGTTCAATCACAAGATAGGTTCAACTCGGTGATTAGGAAGCACACATGACAAACAATTTCTGAGAATGCTTCTGTGTAGCTTTTAAGGGAAGATATTTGATTTTCAAATGTAGGCCTCAAAACGCTCCAAATATCCACTTGCAGATTGTACAAAAAGAGAGATTCAAAACTGGTCACTCAAAAGATAGTTCCAGCTCTGTGAGTTGAATGCAAACCTCACAAAGATGTTTCTCAGAAAGCTTCTGTATAGTTTTTATATGAAGATACTTGCTTTTCCACAATATACCTCAAATCTCCCCAATTATCCACTTGCAGATTCTACAAAAAGAGTGTTTCAAAACTGCTCAATCAAAATACACTTTCAACTCTGTGAGATCAATGCACACATCACAAAGAAGTTTCTCAGAATGCTTCTGTATAGTTTGCTTTTCCACGATAGGCCTCAAAGCACGCCAAATATCCACTTGCAGATCCTATGAAAAGAGTGTTCCAAAACTGGTCAATCATAAGATAGGTTTAACTCTGTGAGTTGAATGCACAATCACGAGGAAGTTTCTCAGAATGCCTCTGTGTGCTTTTCATTTGAAGGTATTTCCTTTTCCACCATAGGCCGCAAAGGGCTCCAAATATCCCCTTGCAGATTCTGCAAAATGAGAGATTCAAAACTGCTCAATCAAAAGATAGGTTCAACTCTGTGAGTTGAATGCTCACATAACAAAGAAGTTTCTTCTGTGTAGTTTTTATTTGAAGATATTTCCTTTTCCACCATAGGCCGCAAAGGGCTCCAAATATCCACTTGCAGATTGTATAAAAAGAGAGATTCAAAACTGGTCACTCGAAGGATCGGTTCAGCTCTGTGAGGTGAATGCACACATCAAAAAGAAGTTTCTTAGAGTGCCTCTGTCTAGTTTTTATGTGAAGATATTTGCTTTTCCACAGTAGGTCTCAAAGCGCTCCAAATATCCACTTGCAGATTCTAAAAAAAGAGAGATTCTAAACTACTCCATCAGAAGATAGGTTCATCTCTGTGAGTTGAAATCACACATCACAAAGAAGTTTCTCAGAGTGCTTCTGTGTTGTTTTTATGTGAAGATATTTGCTTTTCCACAGTAGACCTCAAATCGCTCTAAGTATCCACTTGTAGATTCTACAAAAAGAGTGTTTCCAAACTGCTGAATCATAAGATAGGTTCAACTCTGAGAGTTGAATGCACAAATCCCAAAGAAGTTTCTCAGAATGCTTCTGTGTAGTTTTAATTTGAAGATATTTCCTTTTCCAAAACAGGCCTCAAAGCTCTCCAAATATCCAATTGGTGATTCTGCAAAAAGAAGGTTTCAATACTACTCAATAAAAAGAAAGGTTCAACTCTGTGTGAGGAATGCATTCGTCACAAAGAAGTCTCTGAATGCTTCTGTGTAGTTTTTATATGAAGATATTTCCTTTTACACCACAGGGTGCAAAGAGCTCCAAACTTCCACTTGCAGATTCTACAAAAAGAGATATTCAAAACTGTACAATGAAAATATAGTTTCAACTCTGCATGTTCAATGCACACATCACAAAGAACTTTCTCTGAATGCTTCTGTGTAGTGTTTGTTTATGTGAAGATATCTGCTTTTCCACTATAGGGTGAAATAGGGTTCCAAATATCCACGTGCAGATTTTGCAAAAAGGAGATTCAAAGCATCTCAATCAAAAGATAACTTCAACTATGTGAGTTGAATGCACACAAAACAAAGAAGTTTCTCAGAATGCCTTTGTGTAGTTTTTATGTGAAGATATTTGATTTTCCACATTAGGCCTCAAAGCGCTCCAAATATCCACTTGCAGATTCTACAAAAAGAGTGTTTCAAAACTGCTCAATCAAAAGAAACGTCCAACACTGTGAGATGAATGCACACATCACAAAGAAGTTTCTCAGAATGCTTCTGTGTAGTTTTTATGTGAAGGTATTTGCTTTTCCACGAAGCCCTCAAACGCACCAAATATCCACTTGCGGTTCCTACAAAATGAGTGTTTCAAAACTGCTCAGTCATTAGATAGGTTCAACCCTGTGAGAAGAATGCACACATCACAAAGAAGTTTTTCAGAATGCTTCTATATAGTTTTTATTTGAAGGTATTTCCTTTTCCACCCTAGGTTGCAAAGGGCTCCAAATATCCACTTGCAGATTCGACAAAAAGAGAGATTCAAAACTGCTCAATGATAAGTCCAACTCTGTGGGTTGAATCCATGCCTCACAAAGAAGTTTCTCAGAATGCTTCTCTGTAGTTTCTATGTGAAGATATTTCCTTTTTCACAATAGGCCTCAAGCTTTCCAAATATCCACTTGCAGATTCTGCAAAAAGAGAGATACAAAACTGCTCTATCAAAAGATAGGTTCGACTCTGGTGAGTTCAATGCAAACATCACAAAGAAGATTCTCAGAATGCTTCTGTGTAGATTTTATGTGAAGATGTTTTGTTTTCTACCATAGGGCAAAATGGGGCTCCAAATATCTACTTGCATTTTCTACAAAAAGAGAGATTCTAAGCTGCTCAATCAAAAGATACGTTCAACACTGTTAGTTGAATGCACACATGCCAAAGAAGTTTCTCAGAATGCTTCTGTGTAGTTTTTATGTGAAGATATTTGCTTTTCCACAATAGGCCTCAAATCGTTCTAAATATCCACTTGCAGGCTCTACAAAAAGAGTGTTTCCAAATTGGTCAATCATAAGGTAGGTTCAACTCTGAGAGTTGAATGCACACATCATAAAGAAGTTTCTCAGAATGGTTCTGTGTAGTTTTACTTTGAAGATATTTCATTTTCCAAATCAGGCCCCAAAGCTCTCCAAATATCCACTTGGTGATTCTGCAAAAGGAGCGTTTCAATACTGCTCAATAAAAAGAAAGGCTCAACTCTGTGTGAGGAATGCATTCATCACAAAGAAGTTTCTCTGAATGCTTCTTTGTAGTTTTTATATGAAGATATTTCCCTTTCCACCACAGGGTGCAAAGAGCTCCAAATATCCACTTGCAGATTCCACAAAAAAAGAGATATGAAAGTGCTCCATGGAAAGATAAGTTCAACTTCTGTGAGTTGAATGCACACCTCACAAAGAAGTATCTCAAAATGCTTCTGCGTAGTTTTTATGTGAAGATATTTCCTTTTCCAAGTAGGCCTCAACGTTCTCCAGATATCCACTCGCAGATTCTGCAAAAAGAGAGACTCAAAACTGCTGAATCAAAAGATAGTTTCAACTCTGTGACTTCATTGCACACCTCACAAAGATGTTTCTCAGAATGCTTCTGTGCAGTTTTTATATAAAGATATCTCCTTCTCCAAAATAGATCTCAAAGTTATCCAAGTATTCACTTCCAGATTCTATGGAAAGATTATCTCAAAACTGCTCAATCAAACCAAAGGTTCAACTCTGTGAGATAAATGCACACATCACAAAGAAGTTTCTCAGAATACTTCCGTGTAGTTTTTATTTGAGGATAGTTCCTTTTCCACCACAGACCACAAAGGGCTCCAAATATCCATTGCAGATGGTACAAACAGAGAGACTCGAAACTGCTCAATCAAAAGGTAGTTTCAACCATGTGATATGAATGCACACAGCACAGAGAATTTTCTCAAAATGCTTCTGTCTAGTTTTTATTTGAAGATATATCCTTTTCTACCATAGGCCACAAACGTCTCCAAATATCCACATGCAGCTTCTACAAAAAGAGAGATTCAAAACTTCTCCATCAAAAGATAGGTTCAACTCTGTGAGTTGAATGCACACCTCACAAAGAAGTTTCTCAGAGTGCTTCTGTGTGTTTTTATGTGAAGATGATTCCTTTTCCACAATAGGCCTCAAAGCTCTCCAAGTATCTGCAAGCAGAGTCTACAAAAAGAGAGATTCAAAACTGCTCAATGAAAAGATAGGTTCAACTCTGTGAGTTGAATGCACACCTCCAAAGAAGTTTCTCAGAATGCTTCCGTGTAGTTTTTATGTGAAGATATTTACTTTTCCACAATTGTCCCAAAGCTCTAAAATATCCACTTGCAGACCCTCTGAAAGAGTGTTTCAGAATTGCTCAATCAAAGGAGAGGTTCAATTCTGTGTGACCAATGCACTCATCACAAAAAGTTTGTCTGAATGCTTCTGTGTAGAATGGATTTGAAGATAATTCCTTTTCCACCACAGTCCGCAAATGGCTAAAAATATCCACTTGCAGATTCCACAAAAAGAGAGATTCAAAACTGCTCAATCACAAGGTAGGTTCAACTTGGTAATTTGAAAGCACACATGACAAACAATTTCTGAGAATGTTTCTGTGTAGCTTTTAAGGGAAGATATTTGATTTTCAAATGTAGGCCTCAAAACGCTCCAAATATCCACTTGCAGATTGTACAAAAAGAGAGATTCAAAACTGGTCACTCAAAAGATAGTTCCAGCTCTGTGAGTTGAATGCAAACCTCACAAAGATGTTTCTCAGAAAGCTTCTGTATAGTTTTTATATGAAGATATTTGCTTTTCCACAACATACCTCAAATCTCTCCAATTATCCACTTGCAGATTCTACAGAAGGAGTGTTTTAAAACTGTTCAATCAAAATACACTTTCAACTCTGTGAGATCAATGCACACATCACAAAGAAGTTTCTCAGAATGCTTCTGTATAGTTTTTATCTGAAGTTATTTGCTTTTCCACGATAGGCCTCAAAGCACGCCAAATATCCACTTGCAGATCCTATGAAAAGAGTGTTCCAAAACTGGTCAATCATAAGATAGGTTTAACTCTGTGAGTTGAATGCACAATCACGAGGAAGTTTCTCAGAATGCCTCTGTGTGCTTTTCATTTGAAGGTATTTCCTTTTCCACCATAGGCCGCAAAGGGCTCCAAATATCCCCTTGCAGATTCTGCAAAATGAGAGATTCAAAACTGCTCAATCAAAAGATAGGTTCAACTCTGTGAGTTGAATGCTCACATAACAAAGAAGTTTCTCACAGTATTTCTGTGTAGTTTTTATTTGAAGATATTTCCTTTTCCACCATAGGCCGCAAAGGGCTCCAAATATCCACTTGCAGATTGTATAAAAAGAGAGATTCAAAACTGGTCACTCGAAGGATCGGTTCAGCTCTGTGAGGTGAATGCACACATCAAAAAGAAGTTTCTTAGAGTGCCTCTATGTAGATTTTATGTGAAGATATTTGCTTTTCCACTTTAGGTCTCAAAGCGCTCCAAATATCCACGTGCAGATTCTAAAAAAAGAGAGATTCTAAGCTACTCCATCAAAAGATAGGTTCAGCTCTGTGAGTTGAATTCACACATCACAAAGAAGTTTCTAGGAGTGCTTCTGTGTAGTTGTTATGTGAAGATATTTGCTTTTCCACAGTAGGCCTCAAATCGCTCTACATATCCACTTGCAGTTTCTACAAAAAGAGTGTTTCCAAACTGCTCCATCATAAGACACGTTCAACTCTGAGAGTTGAATGCACACATCACAAAGAAGTTTCTCAGAATGCTTCTGTGTGGTTTTAATTTGAAGATATTTCCTTTTCCAAAACAGGCCTCAAAGCTCTCCAAATATCCCCCTGGTTATTCTGCAAAAAGAGGGTTTCAAAACTACTCAATAAAAAGGTAGATTCAACTCTGTGTGAGGAACGCATTCCTCACAAAGAAGTCTCTCTGAAAGCTTCTGTGTAGTTTTTATATGAAGATATTTCCTTTTGCACCACAGCGTGCAAACAGCTCCAAACTTCCACTTGCAGATTCTACAAAAAGAGATATTCAAAACTGTACAATCAAAAGATAGTTTCAACTCTGCATGTTCAATGCACACATCACAAAGGACTTTCTCTGAATGCTTCTCTGTAGTGTTTGTTTATGTGAAGATATTTGCTTTTCCACTATAGGGTGAAACAGGGCTCCAGGTATCAACTTGCAGATTCTGCAAAAAGGAGATTCAAAACAGCTAAATCGAAAGATAACTTCAACTATGTGAGTTGAATGCACACACAAAAAAGAAGTTTCTCAGAATGCCTCTGTGTAGTTTTTATGTGAAGATATTTGATTTTCCACATTAGGCCTCAAAGCGCTCCAAATATCCACTTGCAGACTCTACAAGAAGACTCTTTCGAAACTGCCCCATCAAAAGAAACGTCCAACACTGTGAGATGCATGCACACATCACAAAGAAGTTTCTCAGAATGCTTCTGTGTAGTTTTTATGTGAAGATATTTGCTTTTCCACGAAGCCCTCAAACGCACCAAATATCCACTTGCGGTTCCTACAAAATGAGTGTTTCAAAACTGCTCAGTCATTAGATAGGTTCAACCCTGTGAGAAGAATGCACACATCACAAAGAAGTTTTTCAGAATGCTTCTATATAGTTTTTATTTGAAGGTATTTCCTTTTCCACCCTAGGTTGCAAAGGGCTCCAAATATCCACTTGCAGATTCGACAAAAAGAGAGATTCAAAACTGCTCAATGACAAGTCCAACTCTGTGGGTTGAATCCATGCCTCACAAAGAAGTTTCTCAGAATGCTTCTCTGTAGTTTTTATGTGAAGATATTTCCTTTTTCACAATAGGCCTCAAGCTTTCCAAATATCCACTTGCAGATTCCGCAAAAAGAGAGATACAAAAGTGCTCTATCAAAAGATAGGTTCGACTCTGGGAGTTCAATGCAAACATCACAAAGAAGTTTCTCAGAATGCTTCTGTGTAGTTTTTATGTGAAGATGTTCTGTTTTCTACCATAGGGCAAAATGGGGCTCCAAATCTCTACTTGCATTTTCTACAAAAAGAGAGATTCTAAGCTGCTCAATCAAAAGATACGTTCAACACTGTTAGTTGAATGCACACATGCCAAAGAAGTTTCTCAGAATGCTTCTGTGTAGTTTTTATGTGAAGATATTTGCTTTTCCACAATAGGCCTCAAATCGTTCTAAATATCCACTTGCAGGCTCTACAAAAAGAGTGTTTCCAAATTGCTCAATCATAAGGTAGGTTCAACTCTGAGAGTTGAATGCACACATCATAAAGAAGTTTCTCAGAATGGTTCTGTGTAGTTTTACTTTGAAGATATTTCATTTTCCAAAACAGGCCCCAAAGCTCTCCAAATATCTACTTGGTGATTCTGCAAAAAGAGCGTTTCAATACTGCTCAATAAAAAGAAACGTTCAGCTCTGTGTGAGGAATGCATTCATCACAAAGAAGTTTCTCTGAATGCTTCTTTGTAGTTTTTATATGAAGATATTTCCCTTTCCACCACAGGGTGCAAAGAGCTCCAAATATCCACTTGCAGATTCCACAAAAAAAGAGATATGAAAGTGCTCCATGGAAAGATAAGTTCAACTCTGTGAGTTGAATGCACACCTCACAAAGAAGTATCTCAAAATGCTTCTGCGTAGTTTTTATGTGAAGATATTTCCTTTTCCAAATAGGCCTCAAAGTTCTCCAGATATCCACTCGCAGATTCTGCAAAAAGAGAGACTCAAAACTGCTGAATCAAAAGACAGTTTCAACTCTGTGACTTCATTGCACACCTCACAAACATGTTTCTCAGAATGCTTCTGTGCAGTTTTTATATAAAGATATCTCCTTCTCCAAAATAGATCTCAAAGTTATCCAAGTATTCACTTCCAGATTCTATGGAAAGATTATCTCAAAACTGCTCAATCAAACCAAAGGTTCAACTCTGTGAGATAAATGCACACATCACAAAGAAGTTTCTCAGAATACTTCTGTGTAGTTTTTATTTGAGGATAGTTCCTTTTCCACCACAGACCACAAAGGGCTCCAAATATCCATTGCAGATGTTACAAAAAGAGAGATTCAAAACTGCTCAACCAAAAGGTAGTTTCAACCATGTGATATGAATGCACACAGCACAGAGAAATTTCTCAAAATGCTTCTGTCTAGTTTTTATTTGAAGATATTGCCTTTTCTACCATAGGCCACAAACGTCTCCAAATATCCACATGCAGCTTCTACAAAAAGAGAGATTCAAAGCTTCTCAATCAAAAGATAGGTTCAACTCTGTGAGTTGAATGCACACTTCACAAAGAAGTTTCTCAGAGTGCTTCTGTGTGTTTTTATGTGAACATATTCCCTTTTCCACAATAGGCCTCAAAGCTCTCCAAATATCTGCAAGCAGAGTCTACAAAAAGAGAGATTCAAAACTGCTCAATGAAAAGATAGGTTCAACTCTGTGAGTTGAATGCACACCTCCAAAGAAGTTTCTCAGAATGCTTCCGTGTAGTTTTTATGTGAAGATATTTACTTTTCCACAATTGTCCCAAAGCTCTAAAATATCCACTTGCAGACCCTCTGAAAGAGTGTTTCAGAATTGCTCAATCAAAGGAGAGGTTCAATTCTGTGTGACCAATGCACTCATCACAAAAAGTTTGTCTGAATGCTTCTGTGTAGAATGGATTTGAAGATAATTCCTTTTCCACCACAGTCCGCAAATGGCTAAAAATATCCACTTGCAGATTCCACAAAAAGAGAGATTCAAAACTGCTCAATCACAAGGTAGGTTCAACTTGGTAATTTGAAAGCACACATGACAAACAATTTCTGAGAATGTTTCTGTGTAGTTTTTAAGGGAAGATATTTGATTTTCAAATGTAGGCCTCAAATCGCTCCAAATATCCACTTGCAGATTGAACAAAAAGAGAGATTCAAAACTGGTCACTCAAGAGATAGGTCCAGCTCTGTGAGTTGAATGCAAACCTCACAAAGATGTTTCTCAGAAGGCTTCTGTATAGTTTTTATATGAAGATATTTGCTTTTCCACAACATACCTCAAATCTCTCCAATTATCCACTTGCAGATTCTACAGAAGGAGTGTTTTAAAACTGCTCAATCAAAATACACTTTCAACTCTGTGAGATCAATGCACACATCACAAAGAAGTTTCTCAGAATGCTTCTGTATAGTTTTTATCTGAAGTTACTTGCTTTTCAACGATAGGCCTCAAAGCACACCAAATATCCACTTGCAGATCCTGTGAAAACAGTGTTCCAAAACTGGTCAATCATAAGATAGGTTTAACTCTGTGAGTTGAATGCACAATCACAAGAAGTTTCTCAGAATGCCTCTGTGTAGTTTTTATTTGGAGGTATTTCCTTTTCCACCCTAGGTAGCAAAGGGCTCCAAATATCCCCTTGCAGATTCTGCAAAATGAGAGATTCAAAACTGCTCAATCAAAAGATAGGTTCAGCTCTGTGAGTTGAATGCTCACATAACAAAGAAGTTTCTCACAGTATTTCTGTGTAGTTTTTATTTGAAGATATTTCCTTTTCCACCACAGGCCGCAAAGGGCTCCCAATATCCACTTGCAGATTGTACAAAAAGAGAGATTCAAAACTGGTCACTCAAGCACTGTGTGCTTCAGCTCTGTGAGTTGAATGCACACATCAAAAAGAAGTTTCTTAGAGTGCCTCTATGTAGATTTTATGTGAAGATATTTGCTTTTCCACTTTAGGTCTCAAAGCGCTCCAAATATCCACGTGCAGATTCTAAAAAAAGAGAGATTCTAAGCTACTCCATCAAAAGATAGGTTCAGCTCTGTGAGTTGAATTCACACATCACAAAGAAGTTTCTAGGAGTGCTTCTGTGTAGTCGTTATGTGAAGATATTTGCTTTTCCACAGTAGGCCTCAAATCGCTCTACATATCCACTTGCAGTTTCTACAAAAAAGAGTGTTTCCAAACTGCTCCATCATAAGACACGTTGAACTCTGAGAGTTGAATGCACACATCACAAAGAAGTTTCTCAGAATGCTTCTGTGTGGTTTTAATTTGAAGATATTTCCTTTTCCAAAACAGGCCTCAAAGCTCTCCAAATATCCCCCTGGTTATTCTGCAAAAAGAGGGTTTCAAAACTACTCAATAAAAAGGAAGATTCAACTCTGTGTGAGGAACGCATTCCTCACAAAGAAGTCTCTCTGAAAGCTTCTGTGTAGTTTTTATATGAAGATATTTCCTTTTGCACCACAGCGTGCAAACAGCTCCAAACTTCCACTTGCAGATTCTACAAAAAGAGATATTCAAAACTCTACAATCAAAAGATAGTTTCAACTCTGCGTGTTCAATGCACACATCACAAAGGACTTTCTCTGAATGCTTCTCTGTAGTGTTTGTTTATGTGGAGATATTTGCTTTTCCACTATAGGGTGAAACAGGGCTCCAGGTGTCAACTTGCAGATTCTGCAAAAAGGAGATTCAAAACAGCTAAATCGAAAGATAACTTCAACTATGTGAGTTGAATGCACACACAAAAAAGAAGTTTCTCAGAATGCCTCTGTGTACTTTTTATGTGAAGATATTTGATTTTCCACATTAGGCCTCAAAGCGCTCCAAATATCCACTTGCAGATTCTAGAAAAAGAGTGTTTCAAAACTGCCCTATCAAAAGAAACGTCCAACACTGTGAGATGAATGCGCACATCACAAAGAAGTTTCTCAGAATGCTTCTTTGTAGTTTTTATGTGAAGATATTCCCTTTTCCAAAGAAGGCCACAAAGTACTCCCAATATCCACTTGCAGGTTCTACAAAATGAGTGTTTCAAAACCGCTCAATCATTAGATAGGTTCAACTCTGTGAGACGAATGCACACATCACAAAGAAGTTTTACGGAATGCTTCTATATAGTTTTTAGGTGAAGGTGTTTCCTTTTCCGCCATAGGTTGCAAAAGGGCTCCAAATACCCACTTGCAGATTCGACCAAAAGAGAGATTCAAAACTGCTCAATGATAAGTCCAACTCTGTGGGTTGAATCCATGCCTCACAGAGAAGTTTCTCAGAATGCTTCTCTGTAGTTTCTATGTGAAGATATTTCCTTTTTCACAATAGGCCTCAAGCTTTCCAAATATCCACTTGCAGATTCTGCAAAAAGAGAGATACAAAACTGCTCTATCAAAAGATAGGTTCGACTCTGGTGAGTTCAATGCAAACATCACAAAGAAGATTCTCAGAATGCTTCTGTGTAGATTTTATGTGAAGATGTTTTGTTTTCTACCATAGGGCAAAATGGGGCTCCAAATATCTACTTGCATTTTCTACAAAAAGAGAGATTCTAAGCTGCTCAATCAAAAGATACGTTCAACACTGTTAGTTGAATGCACACATGCCAAAGAAGTTTCTCAGAATGCTTCTGTGTAGTTTTTATGTGAAGATATTTGCTTTTCCACAATAGGCCTCAAATCGTTCTAAATATCCACTTGCAGGCTCTACAAAAAGAGTGTTTCCAAATTGCTCAATCATAAGGTAGCTTCAACTCTGAGAGTTGAATGCTCACATCATGAAGAAGTTTCTCAGAATGGTTCTGTGTAGTTTTACTTTGAAGATATTTCATTTTCCAAATCAGGCCCCAAAGCTCTCCAAATATCCACTTGGTGATTCTGCAAAAGGAGCGTTTCAATACTGCTCAATAAAAAGAAAGGCTCAACTCTGTGTGAGGAATGCATTCATCACAAAGAAGTTTCTCTGAATGCTTCTTTGTAGTTTTTATATGAAGATAGTTCCCTTTCCACCACAGGGTGCAAAGAGCTCCAAATATCCACTTGCAGATTCTACAGAAAATGAGATATGAAAGTGCTCAAGGAAAAGATAAGTTCAACTCTGTGAGTTGAATGCACACCTCACAAAGAAGAATCTCAAAATGCTTCTGCATAGTTTATATGTGAAGATATTTCCTTTTCCAAATAGGCCTCCAAGTTCTCCAGATATCCACTCGCAGATTTTGCAAAAAGAGAGACTCAAAACTGCTGAATCAAAACATAGTTTCAACTCTGTGACTTCAATGCACACCTCACAAAGATGTTTCTCAGAATGCTTCTGTGCAGTTTTTATATAAAGATATCTCCTTCTCCAAAATAGATCTCAAGGTTCTCCAAATATTCACTTCCAGATTCTATGGAAAGATTGTCTCAAAACTGCTCAATCAAACCAAAGGTTCAACCCTATGAGATGAATGCACACATCACAAGGAAGTTTCTCGGAATACTTCTGTGTAGTTTTTATTTGAGGATAGTTCCTTTTCCACCACAGACCACAAAGGGCTCCAAATATCCATTGCAGATGGTACAAAAAGAGAGATTCAAAACTGCTCAATCAAAAGGTAGTTTCAACCATGTGATATGAATGCACACAGCACAGAGAAATTTCTCAAAATGCTTCTGTCTAGTTTTTATTTGAAGATATTGCCTTTTCTACCATAGGCCACAAACGTCTCCAAATATCCACATGCAGCTTCTACAAAAAGAGAGATTCAAAGCTTCTCAATCAAAAGATAGGTTCAACTCTGTGAGTTGAATGCACACTTCACAAAGAAGTTTCTCAGAGTGCTTCTGTGTGTTTTTATGTGAAGATGATTCCTTTTCCACAATAGGCCTCAAAGCTCTCCAAATATCTGCAAGCAGAGTCTACAAAAAGAGAGATTCAAAACTGCTCAATGAAAAGATAGGTTCAACTCTGTGAGTTGAATGCACACCTCCAAAGAAGTTTCTCAGAATGCTTCCGTGTAGTTTCTATGTGAAGATATTTACTTTTCCACAATTGTCCCAAAGCTCTAAAATATCCACTTGCAGACCCTCTGAAAGAGTGTTTCAGAATTGCTCAATCAAAGGAGAGGTTCAATTCTGTGTGACCAATGCACTCATCACAAAAAGTTTGTCTGAATGCTTCTGTGTAGAATGGATTTGAAGATAATTCCTTTTCCACCACAGTCCGCAAAGGGCTAAAAATATCCATTTGCAGATTCCACAAAAAGAGAGATTCAGAACTGCTCAATCACAAGATAGGTTCAACTTGGTAATTTGAAAGCCCACATGACAAACAATTTCTGAGAATGTTTCTGTGTAGCTTTTAAGGGAAGATATTTGATTTTCAAATGTAGGCCTCAAAACGCTCCAAATATCCACTTGCAGATTGTACAAAAAGAGAGATTCAAAACTGGTCACTCAAAAGATAGTTCCAGCTCTGTGAGTTGAATGCAAACCTCACAAAGATGTTTCTCAGAAAGCTTCTGTATAGTTTTTATATGAAGATACTTGCTTTTCCACAATATACCTCAAATCTCCCCAATTATCCACTTGCAGATTCTACAAAAAGAGTGTTTCAAAACTGCTCAATCAAAATACACTTTCAACTCTGTGAGATCAATGCACACATCACAAAGAAGTTTCTCAGAATGCTTCTGTATAGTTTTTATCTGAAGTTATTTGCTTTTCCACGATAGGCCTCAAAGCACGCCAAATATCCACTTGCAGATCCTATGAAAAGAGTGTTCCAAAACTGGTCAATCATAAGATAGGTTTAACTCTGTGAGTTGAATGCACAATCACGAGGAAGTTTCTCAGAATGCCTCTGTGTGCTTTTCATTTGAAGGTATTTCCTTTTCCACCATAGGCCGCAAAGGGCTCCAAATATCCCCTTGCAGATTCTGCAAAATGAGAGATTCAAAACTGCTCAATCAAAAGATAGGTTCAACTCTGTGAGTTGAATGCTCACATAACAAAGAAGTTTCTCACAGTATTTCTGTGTAGTTTTTATTTGAAGATATTTCCTTTTCCACCATAGGCCGCAAAGGGCTCCAAATATCCACTTGCAGATTGTATAAAAAGAGAGATTCAAAACTGGTCACTCAAAGGATCGGTTCAGCTCTGTGAGGTGAATGCACACATCAAAAAGAAGTTTCTTAGAGTGCCTTCTATGTAGATTTTATGTGAAGATATTTGCTTTTCCACTTTAGGTCTCAAAGCGCTCCAAATATCCACGTGCAGATTCTAAAAAAAGAGAGATTCTAAGCTACTCCATCAAAAGATAGGTTCAGCTCTGTGAGTTGAATTCACACATCACAAAGAAGTTTCTAGGAGTGCTTCTGTGTAGTTGTTATGTGAAGATATTTGCTTTTCCACAGTAGGCCTCAAATCGCTCTACATATCCACTTGCAGTTTCTACAAAAAGAGTGTTTCCAAACTGCTCCATCATAAGACACGTTCAACTCTGAGAGTTGAATGCACACATCACAAAGAAGCTTCTCAGAATGCTTCTGTGTGGTTTTAATTTGAAGATATTTCCTTTTCCAAAACAGGCCTCAAAGCTCTCCAAATATCCACCTGGTTATTCTGCAAAAAGAGGGTTTCAATACTACTCAATAAAAAGGAAGATTCAACTCTGTGTGAGGAACGCATTCATCACAAAGAAGTCTTTCTGAATGCTTCTGTGTAGCTTTTATATGAAGATATTTCCTTTTACACCACAGGGTGCAAACAGCTCCAAACTTCCACTTGCAGATTCTACAAAAAGACGTATTCAAAACTGTACAATCAAAAGATAGTGTCAACTGTGCATGTTCAATGCACACATCACAAAGGACTTTCTCTGAATGCTTCTCTGTAGGGTTTGTTTATGTGAAGATATTTGCTTTTCCACTATAGGGTGAAACAGGGCTCCAAGTATCAACTTGCAGATTCTGCAAAAAGGAGATTCAAAACAGCTAAATCCAAAGATTACTTCAACTATGTGAGTTGAATGCACACACAAAAAAAGAAGTTTCTCAGAATGCCTCTGTGTAGTTTTTATGTGAAGATATTTGATTTTCCACATTAGGCCTCAAAGCGCTCCAAATATCCACTTGCAGATTCTAGAAAAAGAGTGTTTCAAAACTGCCCTATCAAAAGAAACGTCCAACACTGTGAGATGAATGCACACATCACAAAGAAGTTTCTCAGAATGCTTCTTTGTAGTTTTTATGTGAAGATATTCCCTTTTCCAAAGAAGGCCACAAAGTACTCCCAATATCCACTTGCAGGTTCTACAAAATGAGTGTTTCAAAACCGCTCAATCATTAGATAGGTTCAACTCTGTGAGACGAATGCACACATCACAAAGAAGTTTTACGGAATGCTTCTATATAGTTTTTATTTGAAGGTATTTCCTTTTCCACCCTAGGTTGCAAAGGGCTCCAAATATCCACTTGCAGATTCGACAAAAAGAGAGATTCAAAACTGCTCAATGATAAGTCCAACTCTGTGGGTTGAATCCATGCCTCACAAAGAAGTTTCTCAGAATGCTTCTCTGTAGTTTTTATGTGAAGATATTTCCTTTTTCACAATAGGCCTCAAGCTTTCCAAATATCCACTTGCAGATTCCGCAAAAAGAGAGATACAAAAGTGCTCTATCAAAAGATAGGTTCGACTCTGGGAGTTCAATGCAAACATCACAAAGAAGTTTCTCAGAATGCTTCTGTGTAGATTTTATGTGAAGATGTTTTGTTTTCTACCATAGGGCAAAATGGGGCTCCAAATATCTACTTGCATTTTCTACAAAAAGAGAGATTCTAAGCTGCTCAATCAAAAGATACGTTCAACACTGTTAGTTGAATGCACACATGCCAAAGAAGTTTCTCAGAATGCTTCTGTGTAGTTTTTATGTGAAGATATTTGCTTTTCCACAATAGGCCTCAAATCGTTCTAAATATCCACTTGCAGGCTCTACAAAAAGAGTGTTTCCAAATTGCTCAATCATAAGGTAGGTTCAACTCTGAGAGTTGAATGCACACATCATAAAGAAGTTTCTCAGAATGGTTCTGTGTAGTTTTACTTTGAAGATATTTCATTTTCCAAAACAGGCCCCAAAGCTCTCCAAATATCCACTTGGTGATTCTGCAAAAAGAGCGTTTCAATACTGCTCAATAAAAAGAAACGTTCAGCTCTGTGTGAGGAATGCATTCATCACAAAGAAGTTTCTCTGAATGCTTCTTTGTAGTTTTTATATGAAGATAGTTCCCTTTCCACCACAGGGTGCAAAGAGCTCCAAATATCCACTTGCAGATTCTACAGAAAATGAGATACGAAAGTGCTCAAGGAAAAGATAAGTTCAACTCTGTGAGTTGCATGCACACCTCACAAAGAAGAATCTCAAAATGCTTCTGCATAGTTTATATGTGAAGATATTTCCTTTTCCAAATAGGCCTCCAAGTTCTCCAGATATCCACTCGCAGATTCTGCAAAAAGAGAGACTCAAAACTGCTGAATCAAAACATAGTTTCAACTCTGTGACTTCATTGCACACCTCACAAAGATGTTTCTCAGAATGCTTCTGTGCAGTTTTTATATAAAGATATCTCCTTCTCCAAAATAGATCTCAAGGTTCTCCAAATATTCACTTCCAGATTCTATGGAAAGATTGTCTCAAAACTGCTCAATCAAACCAAAGGTTCAACCCTATGAGATGAATGCACACATCACAAGGAAGTTTCTCGGAATACTTCTGTGTAGTTTTTATTTGAGGATAGTTCCTTTTCCACCACAGACCACAAAGGGCTCCAAATATCCATTGCAGATGGTACAAAAAGAGAGATTCAAAACTGCTCAATCAAAAGGTAGTTTCAACCATGTGATATGAATGCACACAGCACAGAGAAATTTCTCAAAATGCTTCTGTCTAGTTTTTATTTGAAGATATTGCCTTTTCTACCATAGGCCACAAACGTCTCCAAATATCCACATGCAGCTTCTACAAAAAGAGAGATTCAAAGCTTCTCAATCAAAAGATAGGTTCAACTCTGTGAGTTGAATGCACACTTCACAAAGAAGTTTCTCAGAGTGCTTCTGTGTGTTTTTATGTGAAGATGATTCCTTTTCCACAATAGGCCTCAAAGCTCTCCAAGTATCTGCAAGCAGAGTCTACAAAAAGAGAGATTCAAAACTGCTCAATGAAAAGATAGGTTCAACTCTGTGAGTTGAATGCACACCTCCAAAGAAGTTTCTCAGAATGCTTCCGTGTAGTTTCTATGTGAAGATATTTACTTTTCCACAATTGTCCCAAAGCTCTAAAATATCCACTTGCGAGACCCTCTGAAAGAGTGTTTCAGAATTGCTCAATCAAAGGAGAGGTTCAATTCTGTGTGACCAATGCACTCATCACAAAAAGTTTGTCTGAATGCTTCTGTGTAGAATGGATTTGAAGATAATTCCTTTTCCACCACAGTCCGCAAATGGCTAAAAATATCCACTTGCAGATTCCACAAAAAGAGAGATTCAAAACTGCTCAATCACAAGGTAGGTTCAACTTGGTAATTTGAAAGCACACATGACAAACAATTTCTGAGAATGTTTCTGTGTAGCTTTTAAGGGAAGATATTTGATTTTCAAATGTAGGCCTCAAAACGCTCCAAATATCCACTTGCAGATTGTACAAAAAGAGAGATTCAAAACTGGTCACTCAAAAGATAGTTCCAGCTCTGTGAGTTGAATGCAAACCTCACAAAGATGTTTCTCAGAAAGCTTCTGTATAGTTTTTATATGAAGATATTTGCTTTTCCACAACATACCTCAAATCTCTCCAATTATCCACTTGCAGATTCTACAGAAGGAGTGTTTTAAAACTGCTCAATCAAAATACACTTTCAACTCTGTGAGATCAATGCACACATCACAAAGAAGTTTCTCAGAATGCTTCTGTATAGTTTTTATCTGAAGTTACTTGCTTTTCCACGATAGGCCTCAAAGCACACCAAATATCCACTTGCAGATCCTGTGAAAACAGTGTTCCAAAACTGGTCAATCATAAGATAGGTTTAACTCTGTGAGTTGAATGCACAATCACAAGAAGTTTCTCAGAATGCCTCTGTGTAGTTTTTATTTGGAGGTATTTCCTTTTCCACCCTAGGTAGCAAAGGGCTCCAAATATCCCCTTGCAGATTCTGCAAAATGAGAGATTCAAAACTGCTCAATCAAAAGATAGGTTCAGCTCTGTGAGTTGAATGCTCACATAACAAAGAAGTTTCTCACAGTATTTCTGTGTAGTTTTTATTTGAAGATATTTCCTTTTCCACCATAGGCCGCAAAGGGCTCCAAATATCCAAATGCAGATTGTACAAAAAGAGAGATTCAAAACTGGTCACTCAAAAGATAGGTTCAGCTCTGTGAGTTGAATACACACATCAAAAAGAAGTTTCTTAGAGTGCCTCTATGTAGATTTTATGTGAAGATATTTGCTTTTCCACTTTAGGTCTCAAAGCGCTCCAAATATCCACGTGCAGATTCTAAAAAAAGAGAGATTCTAAGCTACTCCATCAAAAGATAGGTTCAGCTCTGTGAGTTGAATTCACACATCACAAAGAAGTTTCTAGGAGTGCTTCTGTGTAGTTGTTATGTGAAGATATTTGCTTTTCCACAGTAGGCCTCAAATCGCTCTACATATCCACTTGCAGTTTCTACAAAAAGAGTGTTTCCAAACTGCTCCATCATAAGACACGTTCAACTCTGAGAGTTGAATGCACACATCACAAAGAAGTTTCTCAGAATGCTTCTGTGTGGTTTTAATTTGAAGATATTTCCTTTTCCAAAACAGGCCTCAAAGCTCTCCAAATATCCCCCTGGTTATTCTGCAAAAAGAGGGTTTCAAAACTACTCAATAAAAAGGTAGATTCAACTCTGTGTGAGGAACGCATTCCTCACAAAGAAGTCTCTCTGAAAGCTTCTGTGTAGTTTTTATATGAAGATATTTCCTTTTGCACCACAGCGTGCAAACAGCTCCAAACTTCCACTTGCAGATTCTACAAAAAGAGATATTCAAAACTGTACAATCAAAAGATAGTTTCAACTCTGCGTGTTCAATGCACACATCACAAAGGACTTTCTCTGAATGCTTCTCTGTAGTGTTTGTTTATGTGAAGATATTTGCTTTTCCACTATAGGGTGAAACAGGGCTCCATGTATCAACTTGCAGATTCTGCAAAAAGGAGATTCAAAACAGCTAAATCGAAAGATAACTTCAACTATGTGAGTTGAATGCACACACAAAAAAGAAGTTTCTCAGAATGCCTCTGTGTAGTTTTTATGTGAAGATATTTGATTTTCCACATTAGGCCTCAAAGCGCTCCAAATATCCACTTGCAGACTCTACAAGAAGACTCTTTCGAAACTGCCCTATCAAAAGAAACGTCCAACACTGTGAGATGCATGCACACATCACAAAGAAGTTTCTCAGAATGCTTCTTTGTAATTTTTATGTGAAGATATTCCCTTTTCCAAAGAAGGCCACAAAGTACTCCCAATATCCACTTGCAGGTTCTACAAAATGAGTGTTTCAAAACCGCTCAATCATTAGATAGGTTCAACTCTGTGAGACGAATGCACACGTCACAAAGAAGTTTTACGGAATGCTTCTATATAGTTTTTATTTGAAGGTATTTCCTTTTCCACCCTAGGTTGCAAAGGGCTCCAAATATCCACTTGCAGATTCGACAAAAAGAGAGATTCAAAACTGCTCAATGATAAGTCCAACTCTGTGGGTTGAATCCATGCCTCACAAAGAAGTTTCTCAGAATGCTTCTCTGTAGTTTTTATGTGAAGATATTTCCTTTTTCACAATAGGCCTCAAGCTTTCCAAATATCCACTTGCAGATTCCGCAAAAAGAGAGATACAAAAGTGCTCTATCAAAAGATAGGTTCGACTCTGGGAGTTCAATGCAAACATCACAAAGAAGTTTCTCAGAATGCTTCTGTGTAGTTTTTATGTGAAGATGTTCTGTTTTCTACCATAGGGCAAAATGGGGCTCCAAATATCTACTTGCATTTTCTACAAAAAGAGAGATTCTAAGCTGCTCAATCAAAAGATACGTTCAACACTGTTAGTTGAATGCACACATGCCAAAGAAGTTTCTCAGAATGCTTCTGTGTAGTTTTTATGTGAAGATATTTGCTTTTCCACAATAGGCCTCAAATCGTTCTAAATATCCACTTGCAGGCTCTACAAAAAGAGTGTTTCCAAATTGGTCAGTCATAAGGTAGGTTCAACTCTGAGAGTTGAATGCACACATCATAAAGAAGTTTCTCAGAATGGTTCTGTGTAGTTTTACTTTGAAGATATTTCATTTTCCAAAACAGGCCCCAAAGCTCTCCAAATATCTACTTGGTGATTCTGCAAAAAGAGCGTTTCAATACTGCTCAATAAAAAGAAACGTTCAGCTCTGTGTGAGGAATGCATTCATCACAAAGAAGTTTCTCTGAATGCTTCTTTGTAGTTTTTATATGAAGATAGTTCCCTTTCCACCACAGGGTGCAAAGAGCTCCAAATATCCACTTGCAGATTCTACAGAAAATGAGATACGAAAGTGCTCAAGGAAAAGATAAGTTCAACTCTGTGAGTTGCATGCACACCTCACAAAGAAGAATCTCAAAATGCTTCTGTATAGTTTATATGTGAAGATATTTCCTTTTCCAAATAGGCCTCCAAGTTCTCCAGATATCCACTCGCAGATTCTGCAAAAAGAGAGACTCAAAACTGCTGAATCAAAACATAGTTTCAACTCTGTGACTTCATTGCACACCTCACAAAGATGTTTCTCAGAATGCTTCTGTGCAGTTTTTATATAAAGATATCTCCTTCTCCAAAATAGATCTCAAGGTTCTCCAAATATTCACTTCCAGATTCTATGGAAAGATTGTCTCAAAACTGCTCAATCAAACCAAAGGTTCAACCGTATGAGATGAATGCACACATCACAAGGAAGTTTCTCGGAATACTTCTGTGTAGTTTTTATTTGAGGATAGTTCCTTTTCCACCACAGACCACAAAGGGCTCCAAATATCCATTGCAGATGGTACAAAAAGAGAGATTCAAAACTGCTCAATCAAAAGGTAGTTTCAACCATGTGATATGAATGCACACAGCACAGAGAAATTTCTCAAAATGCTTCTGTCTAGTTTTTATTTGAAGATATTGCCTTTTCTACCATAGGCCACAAACGTCTCCAAATATCCACATGCAGCTTCTACAAAAAGAGAGATTCAAAGCTTCTCAATCAAAAGATAGGTTCAACTCTGTGAGTTGAATGCACACTTCACAAAGAAGTTTCTCAGAGTGCTTCTGTGTGTTTTTATGTGAAGATGATCCCTTTTCCACAATAGGCCTCAAAGCTCTCCAAATATCTGCAAGCAGAGTCTACAAAAAGAGAGATTCAAAACTGCTCAGTGAAAAGATAGGTTCAACTCTGTGAGTTGAATGCACACCTCCAAAGAAGTTTCTCAGAATGCTTCCGTGTAGTTTTTATGTGAAGATATTTACTTTTCCACAATTGTCCCAAAGCTCTAAAATATCCACTTGCAGACCCTCTGAAAGAGTGTTTCAGAATTGCTCAATCAAAGGAGAGGTTCAATTCTGTGTGACCAATGCACTCATCACAAAAAGTTTGTCTGAATGCTTCTGTGTAGAATGGATTTGAAGATAATTCCTTTTCCACCACAGTCCGCAAATGGCTAAAAATATCCACTTGCAGATTCCACAAAAAGAGAGATTCAAAACTGCTCAATCACAAGGTAGGTTCAACTTGGTAATTTGAAAGCACACATGACAAACAATTTCTGAGAATGTTTCTGTGTAGCTTTTAAGGGAAGATATTTGATTTTCAAATGTAGGCCTCAAAACGCTCCAAATATCCACTTGCAGATTGTACAAAAAGAGAGATTCAAAACTGGTCACTCAAAAGATAGTTCCAGCTCTGTGAGTTGAATGCAAACCTCACAAAGATGTTTCTCAGAAAGCTTCTGTATAGTTTTTATATGAAGATACTTGCTTTTCCACAATATACCTCAAATCTCCCCAATTATCCACTTGCAGATTCTACAAAAAGAGTGTTTCAAAACTGCTCAATCAAAATACACTTTCAACTCTGTGAGATCAATGCACACATCACAAAGAAGTTTCTCAGAATGCTTCTGTATAGTTTGCTTTTCCACGATAGGCCTCAAAGCACGCCAAATATCCACTTGCAGATCCTATGAAAAGAGTGTTCCAAAACTGGTCAATCATAAGATAGGTTTAACTCTGTGAGTTGAATGCACAATCACGAGGAAGTTTCTCAGAATGCCTCTGTGTGCTTTTCATTTGAAGGTATTTCCTTTTCCACCATAGGCCGCAAAGGGCTCCAAATATCCCCTTGCAGATTCTGCAAAATGAGAGATTCAAAACTGCTCAATCAAAAGATAGGTTCAACTCTGTGAGTTGAATGCTCACATAACAAAGAAGTTTCTCACAGTATTTCTGTGTAGTTTTTATTTGAAGATATTTCCTTTTCCACCATAGGCCGCAAAGGGCTCCAAATATCCACTTGCAGATTGTATAAAAAGAGAGATTCAAAACTGGTCACTCGAAGGATCGGTTCAGCTCTGTGAGGTGAATGCACACATCAAAAAGAAGTTTCTTAGAGTGCCTCTATGTAGATTTTATGTGAAGATATTTGCTTTTCCACTTTAGGTCTCAAAGCGCTCCAAATATCCACGTGCAGATTCTAAAAAAAGAGAGATTCTAAGCTACTCCATCAAAAGATAGGTTCAGCTCTGTGAGTTGAATTCACACATCACAAAGAAGTTTCTAGGAGTGCTTCTGTGTAGTTGTTATGTGAAGATATTTGCTTTTCCACAGTAGGCCTCAAATCGCTCTACATATCCACTTGCAGTTTCTACAAAAAGAGTGTTTCCAAACTGCTCCATCATAAGACACGTTGAACTCTGAGAGTTGAATGCACACATCACAAAGAAGCTTCTCAGAATGCTTCTGTGTGGTTTTAATTTGAAGATATTTCCTTTTCCAAAACAGGCCTCAAAGCTCTCCAAATATCCACCTGGTTATTCTGCAAAAAGAGGGTTTCAATACTACTCAATAAAAAGGAAGATTCAACTCTGTGTGAGGAACGCATTCATCACAAAGAAGTCTTTCTGAATGCTTTCTGTGTAGCTTTTATATGAAGATATTTCCTTTTACACCACAGGGTGCAAACAGCTCCAAACTTCCACTTGCAGATTCTACAAAAAGACGTATTCAAAACTGTACAATCAAAAGATAGTGTCAACTCTGCATGTTCAATGCACACATCACAAAGGACTTTCTCTGAATGCTTCTCTGTAGGGTTTGTTTATGTGAAGATATTTGCTTTTCCACTATAGGGTGAAACAGGGCTCCAAGTATCAACTTGCAGATTCTGCAAAAAGGAGATTCAAAACAGCTAAATCCAAAGATTACTTCAACTATGTGAGTTGAATGCACACACAAAAAAGAAGTTTCTCAGAATGCCTCTGTGTAGTTTTTATGTGAAGATATTTGATTTTCCACATTAGGCCTCAAAGCGCTCCAAATATCCACTTGCAGATTCTAAAAAAAGAGTGTTTCAAAACTGCCCTATCAAAAGAAACGTCCAACACTGTGAGATGAATGCGCACATCACAAAGAAGTTTCTCAGAATGCTTCTTTGTAGTT
This sequence comes from Homo sapiens, assembly GCF_000001405.40. Classification (NCBI taxonomy): domain Eukaryota; kingdom Metazoa; phylum Chordata; class Mammalia; order Primates; family Hominidae; genus Homo; species Homo sapiens. Next base: position 17,424,964 of record NC_000015.10, on the reverse strand, counting down.
TTTATGTGAAGATATTCCCTTTTCCAAAGAAGGCCACAAAGTACTCCCAATATCCACTTGCAGGTTCTACAAAATGAGTGTTTCAAAACCGCTCAATCATTAGATAGGTTCAACTCTGTGAGACGAATGCACACATCACAAAGAAGTTTTACGGAATGCTTCTATATAGTTTTTATTTGAAGGTATTTCCTTTTCCACCCTAGGTTGCAAAGGGCTCCAAATATCCACTTGCAGATTCGACAAAAAGAGAGATTCAAAACTGCTCAATGATAAGTCCAACTCTGTGGGTTGAATCCATGCCTCACAAAGAAGTTTCTCAGAATGCTTCTCTGTAGTTTTTATGTGAAGATATTTCCTTTTTCACAATAGGCCTCAAGCTTTCCAAATATCCACTTGCAGATTCCGCAAAAAAGAGAGATACAAAAGTGCTCTATCAAAAGATAGGTTCGACTCTGGGAGTTCAATGCAAACATCACAAAGAAGTTTCTCAGAATGCTTCTGTGTAGATTTTATGTGAAGATGTTTTGTTTTCTACCATAGGGCAAAATGGGGCTCCAAATATCTACTTGCATTTTCTACAAAAAGAGAGATTCTAAGCTGCTCAATCAAAAGATACGTTCAACACTGTTAGTTGAATGCACACATGCCAAAGAAGTTTCTCAGAATGCTTCTGTGTAGTTTTTATGTGAAGATATTTGCTTTTCCACAATAGGCCTCAAATCGTTCTAAATATCCACTTGCAGGCTCTACAAAAAGAGTGTTTCCAAATTGCTCAATCATAAGGTAGGTTCAACTCTGAGAGTTGAATGCACACATCATAAAGAAGTTTCTCAGAATGGTTCTGTGTAGTTTTACTTTGAAGATATTTCATTTTCCAAAACAGGCCCCAAAGCTCTCCAAATATCCACTTGGTGATTCTGCAAAAAGAGCGTTTCAATACTGCTCCATAAAAAGAAAGGTTCAGCTCTGTGTGAGGAATGCATTCATCACAAGAAGTTTCTCTGAATGCTTCTTTGTAGTTTTTATATGAAGATAGTTCCCTTTCCACCACAGGGTGCAAAGAGCTCCAAATATCCACTTGCAGATTCTACAGAAAATGAGATACGAAAGTGCTCAAGGAAAAGATAAGTTCAACTCTGTGAGTTGCATGCACACCTCACAAAGAAGAATCTCAAAATGCTTCTGCATAGTTTATATGTGAAGATATTTCCTTTTCCAAATAGGCCTCCAAGTTCTCCAGATATCCACTCGCAGATTCTGCAAAAAGAGAGACTCAAAACTGCTGAATCAAAACATAGTTTCAACTCTGTGACTTCATTGCACACCTCACAAAGATGTTTCTCAGAATGCTTCTGTGCAGTTTTCATATAAAGATATCTCCTTCTCCAAAATAGATCTCAAGGTTCTCCAAATATTCACTTCCAGATTCTATGGAAAGATTGTCTCAAAACTGCTCAATCAAACCAAAGGTTCAACCCTGTGAGATGAATGCACACATCACAAGGGAAGTTTCTCGGAATACTTCTGTGTAGTTTTTATTTGAGGATAGTTCCTTTTCCACCATAGACCACAAAGGGCTCCAAATATCCACTTGCACATGGTACAAAAAGAGAGATTCAAAACTGCTCAATCAAAAGGTAGTTTCAACCCTGTGATATGAATGCACACAGCACAGAGAAGTTTCTCAAAATGCTTCTGTCTAGTTTTTATTTGAAGGTATTACCTTTTCCACCATAGGCCGCAAAAGTCTCCAAATATCCACATGCAGCTTCTACAAAAAGAGAGATTCAAAACTGCTCAATCAAAAGATAGGTTCAACTCTGTGAGTTGAATGCACACCTCACAAAGAAGTTTCTCAGAATGCTTCTGTGTGTTTTTATGTGAAGATATTTCCTTTTCCACAATAGGCCTCAAAGCTCTCCAAATATCCGCAAGCAGAGTCTACAAAAAGAGAGATTCAAAACTGCTCAATGAAAAGATAGGTTCAACTCTGTGAGTTGAATGCACATCTCACAAAGAAGTTTCTCAGAATGCCTCTGTGTAGTTTTTATGTGAAGATATTTACTTTTCCACAATTGTCCCAAAGCTCTAAAATATCCACTTGCAGACCCTCTAAAAGAGTGTTTCAGAGTTGCTCAATCAAAGGAAAGGATCAACTCTGTGTGACGAATGCACTCATCACAAAGAAGTTTGTCTGAATGCTTCTGTGTAGAATGGATTTGAAGATAATTCCTTTTCCACCACAGTCCGCAAAGGGCTAAAAATATCCACTTGCAGATTCCACAAAAAGAGAGATTCAGAACTGCTCAATCACAAGATAGGTTCAACTGGTAATTTGAAAGCCCACATGACAAACAATTTCTGAGAATGTTTCTGTGTAGCTTTGAAGGGAAGATATTTGATTTTCAAATGTAGGCCTCAAATCGCTCCAAATATCCACTTGCAGATTGAACAAAAAGAGAGATTCAAAACTGGTCACTCAAGAGATAGGTCCAGCTCTGTGAGTTGAATGCAAACCTCACAAAGATGTTTCTCAGAAGGCTTCTGTATAGTTTTTATATGAAGATATTTGCTTTTCCACAACATACCTCAAATCTCTCCAATTATCCACTTGCAGATTCTACAGAAGGAGTGTTTTAAAACTGCTCAATCAAAATACACTTTCAACTCTGTGAGATCAATGCACACATCACAAAGAAGTTTCTCAGAATGCTTCTGTATAGTTTTTATCTGAAGTTACTTGCTTTTCCACGATAGGCCTCAAAGCACACCAAATATCCACTTGCAGATCCTGTGAAAACAGTGTTCCAAAACTGGTCAATCATAAGATAGGTTTAACTCTGTGAGTTGAATGCACAATCACAAGAAGTTTCTCAGAATGCCTCTGTGTAGTTTTTATTTGGAGGTATTTCCTTTTCCACCATAGGTAGCAAAGGGCTCCAAATATCCTCTTGCAGATTCTGCAAAATGAGAGATTCAAAACTGCTGAATCAAAAGATAGGTTCAGCTCTGTGAGTTGAATGCTCACATAACAAAGAAGTTTCTCACAGTATTTCTGTGTAGTTTTTATTTGAAGATATTTCCTTTTCCACCACAGGCCGCAAAGGGCTCCCAATATCCACTTGCAGATTGTACAAAAAGAGAGATTCAAAACTGGTCACTCAAGCACTGTGTGCTTCCGCTCTGTGAGTTGAATGCACACATCAAAAAGAAGTTTCTTAGAGTGCCTCTATGTAGATTTTATGTGAAGATATTTGCTTTTCCACTTTAGGTCTCAAAGCGCTCCAAATATCCACGTGCAGATTCTAAAAAAAGAGACATTCTAAGCTACTCCATCAAAAGATAGGTTCAGCTCTGTGAGTTGAATTCACACATCACAAAGAAGTTTCTAGGAGTGCTTCTGTGTAGTTGTTATGTGAAGATATTTGCTTTTCCACAGTAGGCCTCAAATCGCTCTACATATCCACTTGCAGTTTCTACAAAAAGAGTGTTTCCAAACTGCTCCATCATAAGACACGTTCAACTCTGAGAGTTGAATGCACACATCACAAAGAAGTTTCTCAGAATGCGTCTGTGTGGTTTTAATTTGAAGATATTTCCTTTTCCAAAACAGGCCTCAAAGCTCTCCAAATATCCCCCTGGTTATTCTGCAAAAAGAGGGTTTCAAAACTACTCAATAAAAAGGTAGATTCAACTCTGTGTGAGGAACGCATTCCTCACAAAGAAGTCTCTCTGAAAGCTTCTGTGTAGTTTTTATATGAAGATATTTCCTTTTGCACCACAGCGTGCAAACAGCTCCAAACTTCCACTTGCAGATTCTACAAAAAGAGATATTCAAAACTGTACAATCAAAAGATAGTTTCAACTCTGCGTGTTCAATGCACACATCACAAAGGACTTTACTCTGAATGCTTCTCTGTAGTGTTTGTTTATGTGAAGAGATTTGCTTTTCCACTATAGGGTGAAACAGGGCTCCAGGTATCAACTTGCAGATTCTGCAAAAAGGAGATTCAAAACAGCTAAATCGAAAGATAACTTCAACTATGTGAGTTGAATGCACACACAAAAAAGAAGTTTCTCAGAATGCCTCTGTGTAGTTTTTATGTGAAGATATTTGATTTTCCACATTAGGCCTCAAAGCGCTCCAAATATCCACTTGCAGACTCTACAAGAAGACTCTTTCGAAACTGCCCCATCAAAAGAAACGTCCAACACTGTGAGATGCATGCACACATCACAAAGAAGTTTCTCAGAATGCTTCTTTGTAGTTTTCATGTGAAGATATTTCCTTTTCCAAAGAAGGCCACAAACTACTCCCAATATCCACTTCCAGGTTCTACAAAATGAGTGTTTCAAAACTGCTCAATCATTAGATAGGTTCAACTCTGTGAGATGAATGCACACATCACAAAGAAGTTTTTCGGAATGCTTCTATATAGTTTTTATTTGAAGGTATTTCCTTTTCCACCCTAGGTTACAAAGGGCTCCAAATATCCACTTGCAGATTCGACAAAAAGAGAGATTCAAAACTGCTCAATGATAAGTCCAACTCTGTGGGTTGAATCCATGCCTCACAAAGAAGTTTCTCAGAATGCTTCTCTGTAGTTTTTATGTGAAGATATTTCCTTTTTCACAATAGGCCTCAAGCTTTCCAAATATCCACTTGCAGATTCCGCAAAAAGAGAGATACAAAAGTGCTCTATCAAAAGATAGGTTCGACTCTGGGAGTTCAATGCAAACATCACAAAGAAGTTTCTCAGAATGCTTCTGTGTAGATTTTATGTGAAGATGTTTTGTTTTCTACCATAGGGCAAAATGGGGCTCCAAATATCTACTTGCATTTTCTACAAAAAGAGAGATTCTAAGCTGCTCAATCAAAAGATACGTTCAACACTGTTAGTTGAATGCACACATGCCAAAGAAGTTTCTCAGAATGCTTCTGTGTAGTTTTTATGTGAAGATATTTGCTTTTCCACAATAGGCCTCAAATCGTTCTAAATATCCACTTGCAGGCTCTACAAAAAGAGTGTTTCCAAATTGGTCAATCATAAGGTAGGTTCAACTCTGAGAGTTGAATGCACACATCATAAAGAAGTTTCTCAGAATGGTTCTGTGTAGTTTTACTTTGAAGATATTTCATTTTCCAAAACAGGCCCCAAAGCTCTCCAAATATCCACTTGGTGATTCTGCAAAAAGAGCGTTTCAATACTGCTCAATAAAAAGAAACGTTCAGCTCTGTGTGAGGAATGCATTCATCACAAAGAAGTTTCTCTGAATGCTTCTTTGTAGTTTTTATATGAAGATAGTTCCCTTTCCACCACAGGGTGCAAAGAGCTCCAAATATCCACTTGCAGATTCTACAGAAAATGAGATACGAAAGTGCTCAAGGAAAAGATAAGTTCAACTCTGTGAGTTGCATGCACACCTCACAAAGAAGAATCTCAAAATGCTTCTGCATAGTTTATATGTGAAGATATTTCCTTTTCCAAATAGGCCTCCAAGTTCTCCAGATATCCACTCGCAGATTCTGCAAAAAGAGAGACTCAAAACTGCTGAATCAAAACATAGTTTCAACTCTGTGACTTCATTGCACACCTCACAAAGATGTTTCTCAGAATGCTTCTGTGCAGTTTTTATATAAAGATATCTCCTTCTCCAAAATAGATCTCAAGGTTCTCCAAATATTCACTTCCAGATTCTATGGAAAGATTGTCTCAAAACTGCTCAATCAAACCAAAGGTTCAACCCTATGAGATGAATGCACACATCACAAGGAAGTTTCTCGGAATACTTCTGTGTAGTTTTTATTTGAGGATAGTTCCTTTTCCACCACAGACCACAAAGGGCTCCAAATATCCATTGCAGATGGTACAAAAAGAGAGATTCAAAACTGCTCAATCAAAAGGTAGTTTCAACCATGTGATATGAATGCACACAGCACAGAGAAATTTCTCAAAATGCTTCTGTCTAGTTTTTATTTGAAGATATTGCCTTTTCTACCATAGGCCACAAACGTCTCCAAATATCCACATGCAGCTTCTACAAAAAGAGAGATTCAACGCTTCTCAATCAAAAGATAGGTTCAACTCTGTGAGTTGAATGCACACTTCACAAAGAAGTTTCTCAGAGTGCTTCTGTGTCTTTTTATGTGAAGATGATCCCTTTTCCACAATAGGCCTCAAAGCTCTCCAAATATCTGCAAGCAGAGTCTACAAAAAGAGAGATTCAAAACTGCTCAATGAAAAGATAGGTTCAACTCTGTGAGTTGAATGCACACCTCCAAAGAAGTTTCTCAGAATGCTTCCGTGTAGTTTCTATGTGAAGATATTTACTTTTCCACAATTGTCCCAAAGCTCTAAAATATCCACTTGCAGACCCTCTGAAAGAGTGTTTCAGAATTGCTCAATCAAAGGAGAGGTTCAATTCTGTGTGACCAATGCACTCATCACAAAAAGTTTGTCTGAATGCTTCTGTGTAGAATGGATTTGAAGTATAATTCCTTTTCCACCACAGTCCGCAAATGGCTAAAAATATCCACTTGCAGATTCCACAAAAAGAGAGATTCAAAACTGCTCAATCACAAGGTAGGTTCAACTTGGTAATTTGAAAGCACACATGACAAACAATTTCTGAGAATGTTTCTGTGTAGCTTTTAAGGGAAGATATTTGATTTTCAAATGTAGGCCTCAAAACGCTCCAAATATCCACTTGCAGATTGTACAAAAAGAGAGATTCAAAACTGGTCACTCAAAAGATAGTTCCAGCTCTGTGAGTTGAATGCAAACCTCACAAAGATGTTTCTCAGAAAGCTTCTGTATAGTTTTTATATGAAGATACTTGCTTTTCCACAATATACCTCAAATCTCCCCAATTATCCACTTGCAGATTCTACAAAAAGAGTGTTTCAAAACTGCTCAATCAAAATACACTTTCAACTCTGTGAGATCAATGCACACATCACAAAGAAGTTTCTCAGAATGCTTCTGTATAGTTTTTATCTGAAGTTATTTGCTTTTCCACGATAGGCCTCAAAGCACGCCAAATATCCACTTGCAGATCCTATGAAAAGAGTGTTCCAAAACTGGTCAATCATAAGATAGGTTTAACTCTGTGAGTTGAATGCACAATCACGAGGAAGTTTCTCAGAATGCCTCTGTGTGCTTTTCATTTGAAGGTATTTCCTTTTCCACCATAGGCCGCAAAGGGCTCCAAATATCCCCTTGCAGATTCTGCAAAATGAGAGATTCAAAACTGCTCAATCAAAAGATAGGTTCAACTCTGTGAGTTGAATGCTCACATAACAAAGAAGTTTCTCACAGTATTTCTGTGTAGTTTTTATTTGAAGATATTTCCTTTTCCACCATAGGCCGCAAAGGGCTCCAAATATCCACTTGCAGATTGTATAAAAAGAGAGATTCAAAACTGGTCACTCGAAGGATCGGTTCAGCTCTGTGAGGTGAATGCACACATCAAAAAGAAGTTTCTTAGAGTGCCTCTATGTAGATTTTATGTGAAGATATTTGCTTTTCCACTTTAGGTCTCAAAGCGCTCCAAATATCCACGTGCAGATTCTAAAAAAAGAGAGATTCTAAGCTACTCCATCAAAAGATAGGTTCAGCTCTGTGAGTTGAATTCACACATCACAAAGAAGTTTCTAGGAGTGCTTCTGTGTAGTTGTTATGTGAAGATATTTGCTTTTCCACAGTAGGCCTCAAATCGCTCTACATATCCACTTGCAGTTTCTACAAAAAAGAGTGTTTCCAAACTGCTCCATCATAAGACACGTTGAACTCTGAGAGTTGAATGCACACATCACAAAGAAGCTTCTCAGAATGCTTCTGTGTGGTTTTAATTTGAAGATATTTGCTTTTCCAAAACAGGCCTCAAAGCTCTCCAAATATCCACCTGGTTATTCTGCAAAAAGAGGGTTTCAATACTACTCAATAAAAAGGAAGATTCAACTCTGTGTGAGGAACGCATTCATCACAAAGAAGTCTTTCTGAATGCTTCTGTGTAGCTTTTATATGAAGATATTTCCTTTTACACCACAGGGTGCAAACAGCTCCAAACTTCCACTTGCAGATTCTACAAAAAGACGTATTCAAAACTGTACAATCAAAAGATAGTGTCAACTGTGCATGTTCAATGCACACATCACAAAGGACTTTCTCTGAATGCTTCTCTGTAGGGTTTGTTTATGTGAAGACATTTGCTTTTCCACTATAGGGTGAAACAGGGCTCCAAGTATCAACTTGCAGATTCTGCAAAAAGGAGATTCAAAACAGCTAAATCCAAAGATTACTTCAACTATGTGAGTTGAATGCACACACAAAAAAGAAGTTTCTCAGAATGCCTCTGCGTAGTTTTTAAGTGAAGATATTTTCTTTTCCGAAATAGACCTCAAAGCCCTCCAAATATCAACTTCCAGACTCTACAAAAGCAGTGTTTCAAAACTGCTCAATCAAAAGAAATTGTCAACTCTGTGAGATGAATGTACACATCACAAAGAAGTTTCTCAGAATGCTTCTGTGTAGTTTTTATTTGAAGATATTTCCTTTTCCACCACAGGCCGCAAAGGGCTCCCAATATCCACTTGCAGATTGTACAAAAAGAGAGATTCAAAACTGGTCACTCAAGCACTGTGTGCTTCAGCTCTGTGAGTTGAATGCACACATCAAAAAGAAGTTTCTTAGAGTGCCTCTATGTAGATTTTATGTGAAGATATTTGCTTTTCCACTTTAGGTCTCAAAGCGCTCCAAATATCCACGTGCAGATTCTAAAAAAAGAGAGATTCTAAGCTACTCCATCAAAAGATAGGTTCAGCTCTGTGAGTTGAATTCACACATCACAAAGAAGTTTCTAGGAGTGCTTCTGTGTAGTCGTTATGTGAAGATATTTGCTTTTCCACAGTAGGCCTCAAATCGCTCTACATATCCACTTGCAGTTTCTACAAAAAAGAGTGTTTCCAAACTGCTCCATCATAAGACACGTTGAACTCTGAGAGTTGAATGCACACATCACAAAGAAGTTTCTCAGAATGCTTCTGTGTGGTTTTAATTTGAAGATATTTCCTTTTCCAAAACAGGCCTCAAAGCTCTCCAAATATCCCCCTGGTTATTCTGCAAAAAGAGGGTTTCAAAACTACTCAATAAAAAGGAAGATTCAACTCTGTGTGAGGAACGCATTCCTCACAAAGAAGTCTCTCTGAAAGCTTCTGTGTAGTTTTTATATGAAGATATTTCCTTTTGCACCACAGCGTGCAAACAGCTCCAAACTTCCACTTGCAGATTCTACAAAAAGAGATATTCAAAACTGTACAATCAAAAGATAGTTTCAACTCTGCGTGTTCAATGCACACATCACAAAGGACTTTCTCTGAATGCTTCTCTGTAGTGTTTGTTTATGTGAAGATATTTGCTTTTCCACTATAGGGTGAAACAGGGCTCCAGGTATCAACTTGCAGATTCTGCAAAAAGGAGATTCAAAACAGCTAAATCGAAAGATAACTTCAACTATGTGAGTTGAATGCACACACAAAAAAGAAGTTTCTCAGAATGCCTCTGTGTAGTTTTTATGTGAAGATATTTGATTTTCCACATTAGGCCTCAAAGCGCTCCAAATATCCACTTGCAGACTCTACAAGAAGACTCTTTCGAAACTGCCCCATCAAAAGAAACGTCCAACACTGTGAGATGCATGCACACATCACAAAGAAGTTTCTCAGAATGCTTCTTTGTAGTTTTCATGTGAAGATATTTCCTTTTCCAAAGAAGGCCACAAACTACTCCCAATATCCACTTCCAGGTTCTACAAAATGAGTGTTTCAAAACTGCTCAATCATTAGATAGGTTCAACTCTGTGAGATGAATGCACACATCACAAAGAAGTTTTTCGGAATGCTTCTATATAGTTTTTATGTGAAGGTGTTTCCTTTTCCACCATAGGTTGCAAAAGGGCTCCAAATATCCACTTGCAGATTCGACCAAAAGAGAGATTCAAAACTGCTCAATGATAAGTCCAACTCTGTGGGTTGAATCCATGCCTCACAGAGAAGTTTCTCAGAATGCTTCTCTGTAGTTTCTATGTGAAGATATTTCCTTTTTCACAATAGGCCTCAAGCTTTCCAAATATCCACTTGCAGATTCTGCAAAAAGAGAGATACAAAACTGCTCTATCAAAAGATAGGTTCGACTCTGGGAGTTCAATGCAAACATCACAAAGAAGTTTCTCAGAATGCTTCTGTGTAGATTTTATGTGAAGATGTTTTGTTTTCTACCATAGGGCAAAATGGGGCTCCAAATATCTACTTGCATTTTCTACAAAAAGAGAGATTCTAAGCTGCTCAATCAAAAGATACGTTCAACACTGTTAGTTGAATGCACACATGCCAAAGAAGTTTCTCAGAATGCTTCTGTGTAGTTTTTATGTGAAGATATTTGCTTTTCCACAATAGGCCTCAAATCGTTCTAAATATCCACTTGCAGGCTCTACAAAAAGAGTGTTTCCAAATTGCTCAATCATAAGGTAGGTTCAACTCTGAGAGTTGAATGCACACATCATAAAGAAGTTTCTCAGAATGGTTCTGTGTAGTTTTACTTTGAAGATATTTCATTTTCCAAAACAGGCCCCAAAGCTCTCCAAATATCCACTTGGTGATTCTGCAAAAAGAGCGTTTCAATACTGCTCCATAAAAAGAAAGGTTCAGCTCTGTGTGAGGAATGCATTCATCACAAGAAGTTTCTCTGAATGCTTCTTTGTAGTTTTTATATGAAGATAGTTCCCTTTCCACCACAGGGTGCAAAGAGCTCCAAATATCCACTTGCAGATTCTACAGAAAATGAGATATGAAAGTGCTCAAGGAAAAGATAAGTTCAACTCTGTGAGTTGCATGCACACCTCACAAAGAAGAATCTCAAAATGCTTCTGCGTAGTTTTTATGTGAAGATATTTCCTTTTCCAAATAGGCCTCAAAGTTCTCCAGATATCCACTCGCAGATTCTGCAAAAAGAGTGACTCAAAACTGCTGAATCAAAAGGTAGTTTCAACTCTGTGACTTCATTGCACACCTCACAAACATGTTTCTCAGAATGCTTCTGTGCAGTTTTTATATAAAGATATCTCCTTCTCCAAAATAGATCTCAAGGTTCTCCAAATATTCACTTCCAGATTCTATGGAAAGATTGTCTCAAAACTGCTCAATCAAACCAAAGGTTCAACCGTATGAGATGAATGCACACATCACAAGGAAGTTTCTCGGAATACTTCTGTGTAGTTTTTATTTGAGGATAGTTCCTTTTCCACCACAGACCACAAAGGGCTCCAAATATCCATTGCAGATGGTACAAAAAGAGAGATTCAAAACTGCTCAATCAAAAGGTAGTTTCAACCATGTGATATGAATGCACACAGCACAGAGAAATTTCTCAAAATGCTTCTGTCTAGTTTTTATTTGAAGATATTGCCTTTTCTACCATAGGCCACAAACGTCTCCAAATATCCACATGCAGCTTCTACAAAAAGAGAGATTCAAAGCTTCTCAATCAAAAGATAGGTTCAACTCTGTGAGTTGAATGCACACTTCACAAAGAAGTTTCTCAGAGTGCTTCTGTGTGTTTTTATGTGAAGATGATCCCTTTTCCACAATAGGCCTCAAAGCTCTCCAAATATCTGCAAGCAGAGTCTACAAAAAGAGAGATTCAAAACTGCTCAATGAAAAGATAGGTTCAACTCTGTGAGTTGAATGCACACCTCCAAAGAAGTTTCTCAGAATGCTTCCGTGTAGTTTTTATGTGAAGATATTTACTTTTCCACAATTGTCCCAAAGCTCTAAAATATCCACTTGCAGACCCTCTGAAAGAGTGTTTCAGAATTGCTCAATCAAAGGAGAGGTTCAATTCTGTGTGACCAATGCACTCATCACAAAAAGTTTGTCTGAATGCTTCTGTGTAGAATGGATTTGAAGATAATTCCTTTCCCACCACAGTCCGCAAATGGCTAAAAATATCCACTTGCAGATTCCACAAAAAGAGAGATTCAAAACTGCTCAATCACAAGGTAGGTTCAACTTGGTAATTTGAAAGCACACATGACAAACAATTTCTGAGAATGTTTCTGTGTAGCTTTTAAGGGAAGATATTTGATTTTCAAATGTAGGCCTCAAAACGCTCCAAATATCCACTTGCAGATTGTACAAAAAGAGAGATTCAAAACTGGTCACTCAAAAGATAGTTCCAGCTCTGTGAGTTGAATGCAAACCTCACAAAGATGTTTCTCAGAAAGCTCTGTATAGTTTTTATATGAAGATACTTGCTTTTCCACAATATACCTCAAATCTCCCCAATTATCCACTTGCAGATTCTACAAAAAGAGTGTTTCAAAACTGCTCAATCAAAATACACTTTCAACTCTGTGAGATCAATGCACACATCACAAAGAAGTTTCTCAGAATGCTTTCTGTATAGTTTTTATCTGAAGTTATTTGCTTTTCCACGATAGGCCTCAAAGCACGCCAAATATCCACTTGCAGATCCTATGAAAAGAGTGTTCCAAAACTGGTCAATCATAAGATAGGTTTAACTCTGTGAGTTGAATGCACAATCACGAGGAAGTTTCTCAGAATGCCTCTGTGTAGTTTTTATTTGGAGGTATTTCCTTTTCCACCCTAGGTAGCAAAAGGGCTCCAAATATCCCCTTGCAGATTCTGCAAAATGAGAGATTCAAAACTGCTCAATCAAAAGATAGGTTCAGCTCTGTGAGTTGAATGCTCACATAACAAAGAAGTTTCTCACAGTATTTCTGCCTAGTTTTTAAGTGAAGATATTTTCTTTTCCGAAATAGACCTCAAAGCCCTCCAAATATCAACTTCCAGACTCTACAAAAGCAGTGTTTCAAAACTGCTCAATCAAAAGAAATTGTCAACTCTGTGAGATGAATGTACACATCACAAAGAAGTTTCTCAGAATGCTTCTGTGTAGTTTTTATTTGAAGATATTTCCTTTTCCACCACAGGCCGCAAAGGGCTCCCAATATCCACTTGCAGATTGTACAAAAAGAGAGATTCAAAACTGGTCACTCAAGCACTGTGTGCTTCCGCTCTGTGAGTTGAATGCACACATCAAAAAGAAGTTTCTTAGAGTGCCTCTATGTAGATTTTATGTGAAGATATTTGCTTTTCCACTTTAGGTCTCAAAGCGCTCCAAATATCCACGTGCAGATTCTAAAAAAAGAGAGATTCTAAGCTACTCCATCAAAAGATAGGTTCAGCTCTGTGAGTTGAATTCACACATCACAAAGAAGTTTCTAGGAGTGCTTCTGTGTAGTTGTTATGTGAAGATATTTGCTTTTCCACAGTAGGCCTCAAATCGCTCTACATATCCACTTGCAGTTTCTACAAAAAGAGTGTTTCCAAACTGCTCCATCATAAGACACGTTGAACTCTGAGAGTTGAATGCACACATCACAAAGAAGCTTCTCAGAATGCTTCTGTGTGGTTTTAATTTGAAGATATTTCCTTTTCCAAAACAGGCCTCAAAGCTCTCCAAATATCCCCCTGGTTATTCTGCAAAAAGAGGGTTTCAAAACTACTCAATAAAAAGGTAGATTCAACTCTGTGTGAGGAACGCATTCCTCACAAAGAAGTCTCTCTGAAAGCTTCTGTGTAGTTTTTATATGAAGATATTTCCTTTTGCACCACAGCGTGCAAACAGCTCCAAACTTCCACTTGCAGATTCTACAAAAAGAGATATTCAAAACTGTACAATCAAAAGATAGTTTCAACTCTGCGTGTTCAATGCACACATCACAAAGGACTTTCTCTGAATGCTTCTCTGTAGTGTTTGTTTATGTGAAGATATTTGCTTTTCCACTATAGGGTGAAACAGGGCTCCAGGTATCAACTTGCAAGATTCTGCAAAAAGGAGATTCAAAACAGCTAAATCGAAAGATAACTTCAACTATGTGAGTTGAATGCACACACAAAAAAGAAGTTTCTCAGAATGCCTCTGTGTAGTTTTTATGTGAAGATATTTGATTTTCCACATTAGGCCTCAAAGCGCTCCAAATATCCACTTGCAGACTCTACAAGAAGACTCTTTCGAAACTGCCCTATCAAAAGAAACGTCCAACACTGTGAGATGCATGCACACATCACAAAGAAGTTTCTCAGAATGCTTCTTTGTAGTTTTCATGTGAAGATATTTCCTTTTCCAAAGAAGGCCACAAACTACTCCCAATATCCACTTCCAGGTTCTACAAAATGAGTGTTTCAAAACTGCTCAATCATTAGATAGGTTCAACTCTGTGAGATGAATGCACACATCACAAAGAAGTTTTTCGGAATGCTTCTATATAGTTTTTAGGTGAAGGTGTTTCCTTTTCCGCCATAGGTTGCAAAAGGGCTCCAAATACCCACTTGCAGATTCGACCAAAAGAGAGATTCAAAACTGCTCAATGGTAAGTCCAACTCTGTGGGTTGAATCCATGCCTCACAGAGAAGTTTCTCAGAATGCTTCTCTGTAGTTTCTATGTGAAGATATTTCCTTTTTCACAATAGGCCTCAAGCTTTCCAAATATCCACTTGCAGATTCTGCAAAAAGAGAGATACAAAACTGCTCTATCAAAAGATAGGTTCGACTCTGGGAGTTCAATGCAAACATCACAAAGAAGTTTCTCAGAATGCTTCTGCGTAGTTTTTATGTGAAGATGTTCTGTTTTCTACCATAGGGCGAAATGGGGCTCCAAATCTCTACTTGCATTTTCTACAAAAGGAGAGATTCTAAGCTGCTCAATCAAAAGATAGGTTCAACACTGTTAGTTGAATGCACACATCCCAAAGAAGTTTCTGAGAATGCTTCTGTGTAGTTTTTATGTGAAGATATTTGCTTTTCCACAATAGGCCTCAAATCGTTCTAAATATCCACTTGCAGGCTCTACAAAAAGAGTGTTTCCAAATTGCTCAATCATAAGGTAGCTTCAACTCTGAGAGTTGAATGCTCACATCATGAAGAAGTTTCTCAGAATGGTTCTGTGTAGTTTTACTTTGAAGATATTTCATTTTCCAAATCAGGCCCCAAAGCTCTCCAAATATCCACTTGGTGATTCTGCAAAAGGAGCGTTTCAATACTGCTCAATAAAAAGAAAGGCTCAACTCTGTGTGAGGAATGCATTCATCACAAAGAAGTTTCTCTGAATGCTTCTTTGTAGTTTTTATATGAAGATATTTCCCTTTCCACCACAGGGTGCAAAGAGCTCCAAATATCCACTTGCAGATTCCACAAAAAAAGAGATATGAAAGTGCTCCATGGAAAGATAAGTTCAACTCTGTGAGTTGAATGCACACCTCACAAAGAAGTATCTCAAAATGCTTCTGCGTAGTTTTTATGTGAAGATATTTCCTTTTCCAAGTAGGCCTCAACCTTCTCCAGATATCCACTCGCAGATTCTGCAAAAAGAGAGACTCAAAACTGCTGAATCAAAAGATAGTTTCAACTCTGTGACTTCATTGCACACCTCACAAAGATGTTTCTCAGAATGCTTCTGTGCAGTTTTTATATAAAGATATCTCCTTCTCCAAAATAGATCTCAAAGTTATCCAAGTATTCACTTCCAGATTCTATGGAAAGATTATCTCAAAACTGCTCAATCAAACCAAAGGTTCAACTCTGTGAGATAAATGCACACATCACAAAGAAGTTTCTCAGAATACTTTCCGTGTAGTTTTTATTTGAGGATAGTTCCTTTTCCACCACAGACCACAAAGGGCTCCAAATATCCATTGCAGATGGTACAAACAGAGAGACTCGAAACTGCTCAATCAAAAGGTAGTTTCAACCATGTGATATGAATGCACACAGCACAGAGAATTTTCTCAAAATGCTCTGTCTAGTTTTTATTTGAAGATATTGCCTTTTCTACCATAGGCCACAAACGTCTCCAAATATCCACATGCAGCTTCTACAAAAAGAGAGATTCAAAGCTTCTCAATCAAAAGATAGGTTCAACTCTGTGAGTTGAATGCACACTTCACAAAGAAGTTTCTCAGAGTGCTTTCTGTGTGTTTTTATGTGAAGATGATTCCTTTTCCACAATAGGCCTCAAAGCTCTCCAAGTATCTGCAAGCAGAGTCTACAAAAAGAGAGATTCAAAACTGCTCAATGAAAAGATAGGTTCAACTCTGTGAGTTGAATGCACACCTCCAAAGAAGTTTCTCAGAATGCTTCCGTGTAGTTTCTATGTGAAGATATTTACTTTTCCACAATTGTCCCAAAGCTCTAAAATATCCACTTGCAGACCCTCTGAAAGAGTGTTTCAGAATTGCTCAATCAAAGGAGAGGTTCAATTCTGTGTGACCAATGCACTCATCACAAAAAGTTTGTCTGAATGCTTCTGTGTAGAATGGATTTGAAGATAATTCCTTTTCCACCACAGTCCGCAAATGGCTAAAAATATCCACTTGCAGATTCCACAAAAAGAGAGATTCAAAACTGCTCAATCACAAGGTAGGTTCAACTTGGTAATTTGAAAGCACACATGACAAACAATTTCTGAGAATGTTTCTGTGTAGCTTTTAAGGGAAGATATTTGATTTTCAAATGTAGGCCTCAAAACGCTCCAAATATCCACTTGCAGATTGTACAAAAAGAGAGATTCAAAACTGGTCACTCAAAAGATAGTTCCAGCTCTGTGAGTTGAATGCAAACCTCACAAAGATGTTTCTCAGAAAGCTTCTGTATAGTTTTTATATGAAGATACTTGCTTTTCCACAATATACCTCAAATCTCCCCAATTATCCACTTGCAGATTCTACAAAAAGAGTGTTTCAAAACTGCTCAATCAAAATACACTTTCAACTCTGTGAGATCAATGCACACATCACAAAGAAGTTTCTCAGAATGCTTCTGTATAGTTTTTATCTGAAGTTATTTGCTTTTCCACGATAGGCCTCAAAGCACGCCAAATATCCACTTGCAGATCCTATGAAAAGAGTGTTCCAAAACTGGTCAATCATAAGATAGGTTTAACTCTGTGAGTTGAATGCACAATCACGAGGAAGTTTCTCAGAATGCCTCTGTGTGCTTTTCATTTGAAGGTATTTCCTTTTCCACCATAGGCCGCAAAGGGCTCCAAATATCCCCTTGCAGATTCTGCAAAATGAGAGATTCAAAACTGCTCAATCAAAAGATAGGTTCAACTCTGTGAGTTGAATGCTCACATAACAAAGAAGTTTCTCACAGTATTTCTGTGTAGTTTTTATTTGAAGATATTTCCTTTTCCACCATAGGCCGCAAAGGGCTCCAAATATCCACTTGCAGATTGTATAAAAAGAGAGATTCAAAACTGGTCACTCGAAGGATCGGTTCAGCTCTGTGAGGTGAATGCACACATCAAAAAGAAGTTTCTTAGAGTGCCTCTATGTAGATTTTATGTGAAGATATTTGCTTTTCCACTTTAGGTCTCAAAGCGCTCCAAATATCCACGTGCAGATTCTAAAAAAAGAGAGATTCTAAGCTACTCCATCAAAAGATAGGTTCAGCTCTGTGAGTTGAATTCACACATCACAAAGAAGTTTCTAGGAGTGCTTCTGTGTAGTTGTTATGTGAAGATATTTGCTTTTCCACAGTAGGCCTCAAATCGCTCTACATATCCACTTGCAGTTTCTACAAAAAGAGTGTTTCCAAACTGCTCCATCATAAGACACGTTCAACTCTGAGAGTTGAATGCACACATCACAAAGAAGTTTCTCAGAATGCTTCTGTGTGGTTTTAATTTGAAGATATTTCCTTTTCCAAAACAGGCCTCAAAGCTCTCCAAATATCCACCTGGTTATTCTGCAAAAAGAGGGTTTCAATACTACTCAATAAAAAGGAAGATTCAACTCTGTGTGAGGAACGCATTCATCACAAAGAAGTCTTTCTGAATGCTTCTGTGTAGCTTTTATATGAAGATATTTCCTTTTACACCACAGGGTGCAAACAGCTCCAAACTTCCACTTGCAGATTCTACAAAAAGACGTATTCAAAACTGTACAATCAAAAGATAGTGTCAACTCTGCATGTTCAATGCACACATCACAAAGGACTTTCTCTGAATGCTTCTCTGTAGGGTTTGTTTATGTGAAGATATTTGCTTTTCCACTATAGGGTGAAACAGGGCTCCAAGTATCAACTTGCAGATTCTGCAAAAAGGAGATTCAAAACAGCTAAATCCAAAGATTACTTCAACTATGTGAGTTGAATGCACACACAAAAAAAGAAGTTTCTCAGAATGCCTCTGTGTAGTTTTTATGTGAAGATATTTGATTTTCCACATTAGGCCTCAAAGCGCTCCAAATATCCACTTGCAGATTCTAGAAAAAGAGTGTTTCAAAACTGCCCTATCAAAAGAAACGTCCAACACTGTGAGATGAATGCACACATCACAAAGAAGTTTCTCAGAATGCTTCTTTGTAGTTTTTATGTGAAGATATTCCCTTTTCCAAAGAAGGCCACAAAGTACTCCCAATATCCACTTGCAGGTTCTACAAAATGAGTGTTTCAAAACCGCTCAATCATTAGATAGGTTCAACTCTGTGAGACGAATGCACACATCACAAAGAAGTTTTACGGAATGCCTCTATATAGTTTTTATTTGAAGGTATTTCCTTTTCCACCCTAGGTTGCAAAGGGCTCCAAATATCCACTTGCAGATTCGACAAAAAGAGAGATTCAAAACTGCTCAATGATAAGTCCAACTCTGTGGGTTGAATCCATGCCTCACAAAGAAGTTTCTCAGAATGCTTCTCTGTAGTTTTTATGTGAAGATATTTCCTTTTTCACAATAGGCCTCAAGCTTTCCAAATATCCACTTGCAGATTCCGCAAAAAGAGAGATACAAAAGTGCTCTATCAAAAGATAGGTTCGACTCTGGGAGTTCAATGCAAACATCACAAAGAAGTTTCTCAGAATGCTTCTGTGTAGATTTTATGTGAAGATGTTTTGTTTTCTACCATAGGGCAAAATGGGGCTCCAAATATCTACTTGCATTTTCTACAAAAAGAGAGATTCTAAGCTGCTCAATCAAAAGATACGTTCAACACTGTTAGTTGAATGCACACATGCCAAAGAAGTTTCTCAGAATGCTTCTGTGTAGTTTTTATGTGAAGATATTTGCTTTTCCACAATAGGCCTCAAATCGTTCTAAATATCCACTTGCAGGCTCTACAAAAAGAGTGTTTCCAAATTGCTCAATCATAAGGTAGGTTCAACTCTGAGAGTTGAATGCACACATCATAAAGAAGTTTCTCAGAATGGTTCTGTGTAGTTTTACTTTGAAGATATTTCATTTTCCAAAACAGGCCCCAAAGCTCTCCAAATATCCACTTGGTGATTCTGCAAAAAGAGCGTTTCAATACTGCTCCATAAAAAGAAAGGTTCAGCTCTGTGTGAGGAATGCATTCATCACAAGAAGTTTCTCTGAATGCTTCTTTGTAGTTTTTATATGAAGATAGTTCCCTTTCCACCACAGGGTGCAAAGAGCTCCAAATATCCACTTGCAGATTCTACAGAAAATGAGATATGAAAGTGCTCAAGGAAAAGATAAGTTCAACTCTGTGAGTTGAATGCACACCTCACAAAGAAGAATCTCAAAATGCTTCTGCATAGTTTATATGTGAAGATATTTCCTTTTCCAAATAGGCCTCCAAGTTCTCCAGATATCCACTCGCAGATTCTGCAAAAAGAGAGACTCAAAACTGCTGAATCAAAGCATAGTTTCAACTCTGTGACTTCATTGCACACCTCACAAAGATGTTTCTCAGAATGCTTCTGTGCAGTTTTTATATAAAGATATCTCCTTCTCCAAAATAGATCTCAAGGTTCTCCAAATATTCACTTCCAGATTCTATGGAAAGATTGTCTCAAAACTGCTCAATCAAACCAAAGGTTCAACCTTATGAGATGAATGCACACATCACAAGGAAGTTTCTCGGAATACTTCTGTGTAGTTTTTATTTGAGGATAGTTCCTTTTCCACCACAGACCACAAAGGGCTCCAAATATCCATTGCAGATGGTACAAAAAGAGAGATTCAAAACTGCTCAATCAAAAGGTAGTTTCAACCATGTGATATGAATGCACACAGCACAGAGAAATTTCTCAAAATGCTTCTGTCTAGTTTTTATTTGAAGATATTGCCTTTTCTACCATAGGCCACAAACGTCTCCAAATATCCACATGCAGCTTCTACAAAAAGAGAGATTCAAAGCTTCTCAATCAAAAGATAGGTTCAACTCTGTGAGTTGAATGCACACTTCACAAAGAAGTTTCTCAGAGTGCTTCTGTGTGTTTTTATGTGAACATATTCCCTTTTCCACAATAGGCCTCAAAGCTCTCCAAATATCTGCAAGCAGAGTCTACAAAAAGAGAGATTCAAAACTGCTCAATGAAAAGATAGGTTCAACTCTGTGAGTTGAATGCACACCTCCAAAGAAGTTTCTCAGAATGCTTCCGTGTAGTTTCTATGTGAAGATATTTACTTTTCCACAATTGTCCCAAAGCTCTAAAATATCCACTTGCAGACCCTCTGAAAGAGTGCTTCAGAATTGCTCAATCAAAGGAGAGGTTCAATTCTGTGTGACCAATGCACTCATCACAAAAAGTTTGTCTGAATGCTTTCTGTGTAGAATGGATTTGAAGATAATTCCTTTTCCACCACAGTCCGCAAATGGCTAAAAATATCCACTTGCAGATTCCACAAAAAGAGAGATTCAAAACTGCTCAATCACAAGGTAGGTTCAACTTGGTAATTTGAAAGCACACATGACAAACAATTTCTGAGAATGTTTCTGTGTAGCTTTTAAGGGAAGATATTTGATTTTCAAATGTAGGCCTCAAAACGCTCCAAATATCCACTTGCAGATTGTACAAAAAGAGAGATTCAAAACTGGTCACTCAAAAGATAGTTCCAGCTCTGTGAGTTGAATGCAAACCTCACAAAGATGTTTCTCAGAAAGCTTCTGTATAGTTTTTATATGAAGATACTTGCTTTTCCACAATATACCTCAAATCTCCCCAATTATCCACTTGCAGATTCTACAAAAAGAGTGTTTCAAAACTGCTCAATCAAAATACACTTTCAACTCTGTGAGATCAATGCACACATCACAAAGAAGTTTCTCAGAATGCTTCTGTATAGTTTTTATCTGAAGTTATTTGCTTTTCCACGATAGGCCTCAAAGCACGCCAAATATCCACTTGCAGATCCTATGAAAAGAGTGTTCCAAAACTGGTCAATCATAAGATAGGTTTAACTCTGTGAGTTGAATGCACAATCACGAGGAAGTTTCTCAGAATGCCTCTGTGTGCTTTTCATTTGAAGGTATTTCCTTTTCCACCATAGGCCGCAAAGGGCTCCAAATATCCCCTTGCAGATTCTGCAAAATGAGAGATTCAAAACTGCTCAATCAAAAGATAGGTTCAAGTCTGTGAGTTGAATGCTCACATAACAAAGAAGTTTCTCACAGTATTTCTGTGTAGTTTTTATTTGAAGATATTTCCTTTTCCACCATAGGCCGCAAAGGGCTCCAAATATCCACTTGCAGATTGTATAAAAAGAGAGATTCAAAACTGGTCACTCGAAGGATCGGTTCAGCTCTGTGAGGTGAATGCACACATCAAAAAGAAGTTTCTTAGAGTGCCTCTATGTAGATTTTATGTGAAGATATTTGCTTTTCCACTTTAGGTCTCAAAGCGCTCCAAATATCCACGTGCAGATTCTAAAAAAAGAGAGATTCTAAGCTACTCCATCAAAAGATAGGTTCAGCTCTGTGAGTTGAATTCACACATCACAAAGAAGTTTCTAGGAGTGCTTCTGTGTAGTTGTTATGTGAAGATATTTGCTTTTCCACAGTAGGCCTCAAATCGCTCTACATATCCACTTGCAGTTTCTACAAAAAAGAGTGTTTCCAAACTGCTCCATCATAAGACACGTTGAACTCTGAGAGTTGAATGCACACATCACAAAGAAGCTTCTCAGAATGCTTCTGTGTGGTTTTAATTTGAAGATATTTCCTTTTCCAAAACAGGCCTCAAAGCTCTCCGAATATCCACCTGGTTATTCTGCAAAAAGAGGGTTTCAATACTACTCAATAAAAAGGAAGATTCAACTCTGTGTGAGGAACGCATTCATCACAAAGAAGTCTTTCTGAATGCTTCTGTGTAGCTTTTATATGAAGATATTTCCTTTTACACCACAGGGTGCAAACAGCTCCAAACTTCCACTTGCAGATTCTACAAAAAGACGTATTCAAAACTGTACAATCAAAAGATAGTGTCAACTCTGCATGTTCAATGCACACATCACAAAGGACTTTCTCTGAATGCTTCTCTGTAGGGTTTGTTTATGTGAAGATATTTGCTTTTCCACTATAGGGTGAAACAGGGCTCCAAGTATCAACTTGCAGATTCTGCAAAAAGGAGATTCAAAACAGCTAAATCCAAAGATTACTTCAACTATGTGAGTTGAATGCACACACAAAAAAGAAGTTTCTCAGAATGCCTCTGTGTAGTTTTTATGTGAAGATATTTGATTTTCCACATTAGGCCTCAAAGCGCTCCAAATATCCACTTGCAGATTCTAGAAAAAGAGTGTTTCAAAACTGCCCTATCAAAAGAAACGTCCAACACTGTGAGATGAATGCACACATCACAAAGAAGTTTCTCAGAATGCTTCTTTGTAATTTTTATGTGAAGATATTCCCTTTTCCAAAGAAGGCCACAAAGTACTCCCAATATCCACTTGCAGGTTCTACAAAATGAGTGTTTCAAAACCGCTCAATCATTAGATAGGTTCAACTCTGTGAGACGAATGCACACGTCACAAAGAAGTTTTACGGAATGCTTCTATATAGTTTTTATTTGAAGGTATTTCCTTTTCCACCCTAGGTTGCAAAGGGCTCCAAATATCCACTTGCAGATTCGACAAAAAGAGAGATTCAAAACTGCTCAATGATAAGTCCAACTCTGTGGGTTGAATCCATGCCTCACAAAGAAGTTTCTCAGAATGCTTCTCTGTAGTTTTTATGTGAAGATATTTCCTTTTTCACAATAGGCCTCAAGCTTTCCAAATATCCACTTGCAGATTCCGCAAAAAAGAGAGATACAAAAGTGCTCTATCAAAAGATAGGTTCGACTCTGGGAGTTCAATGCAAACATCACAAAGAAGTTTCTCAGAATGCTTCTGTGTAGATTTTATGTGAAGATGTTTTGTTTTCTACCATAGGGCAAAATGGGGCTCCAAATATCTACTTGCATTTTCTACAAAAAGAGAGATTCTAAGCTGCTCAATCAAAAGATACGTTCAACACTGTTAGTTGAATGCACACATGCCAAAGAAGTTTCTCAGAATGCTTCTGTGTAGTTTTTATGTGAAGATATTTGCTTTTCCACAATAGGCCTCAAATCGTTCTAAATATCCACTTGCAGGCTCTACAAAAAGAGTGTTTCCAAATTGCTCAATCATAAGGTAGGTTCAACTCTGAGAGTTGAATGCACACATCATAAAGAAGTTTCTCAGAATGGTTCTGTGTAGTTTTACTTTGAAGATATTTCATTTTCCAAAACAGGCCCCAAAGCTCTCCAAATATCCACTTGGTGATTCTGCAAAAAGAGCGTTTCAATACTGCTCCATAAAAAGAAAGGTTCAGCTCTGTGTGAGGAATGCATTCATCACAAGAAGTTTCTCTGAATGCTTCTTTGTAGTTTTTATATGAAGATAGTTCCCTTTCCACCACAGGGTGCAAAGAGCTCCAAATATCCACTTGCAGATTCTACAGAAAATGAGATATGAAAGTGCTCAAGGAAAAGATAAGTTCAACTCTGTGAGTTGCATGCACACCTCACAAAGAAGAATCTCAAAATGCTTCTGCATAGTTTATATGTGAAGATATTTCCTTTTCCAAATAGGCCTCCAAGTTCTCCAGATATCCACTCGCAGATTCTGCAAAAAGAGAGACTCAAAACTGCTGAATCAAAACATAGTTTCAACTCTGTGACTTCATTGCACACCTCACAAAGATGTTTCTCAGAATGCTTCTGTGCAGTTTTCATATAAAGATATCTCCTTCTCCAAAATAGATCTCAAGGTTCTCCAAATATTCACTTCCAGATTCTATGGAAAGATTGTCTCAAAACTGCTCAATCAAACCAAAGGTTCAACCCTGTGAGATGAATGCACACATCACAAGGAAGTTTCTCGGAATACTTCCGTGTAGTTTTTATTTGAGGATAGTTCCTTTTCCACCACAGACCACAAAGGGCTCCAAATATCCATTGCAGATGGTACAAACAGAGAGACTCGAAACTGCTCAATCAAAAGGTAGTTTCAACCATGTGATATGAATGCACACAGAACAGAGAACTTTCTCAAAATGCTTCTGTCTAGTTTTTATTTGAAGATATTTCCTTTTCTACCATAGGCCACAAACGTCTCCAAATATCCACATGCAGCTTCTACAAAAAGAGAGATTCAAAACTTCTCCATCAAAAGATAGGTTCAACTCTGTGAGTTGAATGCACATCTCACAAAGAAGTTTCTCAGAGTGCTTCTGTGTGTTTTTATGTGAACATATTCTCTTTTCCACAATAGGCCTCAAAGCTCTCCAAATATCTGTAAGCAGAGTCTACAAAAAGAGAGATTCAAAACTGCTCAATGAAAAGATAGGTTCAACTCTGTGAGTTGAATGCACACCTCCAAAGAAGTTTCTCAGAATGCTTCCGTGTAGTTTTTATGTGAAGATATTTACTTTTCCACAATTGTCCCAAAGCTCTAAAATATCCACTTGCAGACCCTCTGAAAGAGTGTTTCAGAATTGCTCAATCAAAGGAGAGGTTCAATTCTGTGTGACCAATGCACTCATCACCAAGAAGTTTGTCTGAATGCTTCTGTGTAGAATGGATTTGAAGATAATTCCTTTTCCACCACAGTCCGCAAAGGGCTAAAAATATCCATTTGCAGATTCCACAAAAAGAGAGATTCAGAACTGCTCAATCACAAGATAGGTTCAACTTGGTAATTTGAAAGCCCACATGACAAACAATTTCTGAGAATGTTTCTGTGTAGTTTTTAAGGGAAGATATTTGATTTTCAAATGTAGGCCTCAAATCGCTCCAAATATCCACTTGCAGATTGAACAAAAAGAGAGATTCAAAACTGGTCACTCAAGAGATAGGTCCAGCTCTGTGAGTTGAATGCAAATCTCACAAAGATGTTTCTCAGAAGGCTTCTGTATAGTTTTTATATGAAGATATTTGCTTTTCCACAACATACCTCAAATCTCTCCAATTATCCACTTGCAGATTCTACAGAAGGAGTGTTTTAAAACTGCTCAATCAAAATACACTTTCAACTCTGTGAGATCAATGCACACATCACAAAGAAGTTTCTCAGAATGCTTCTGTATAGTTTTTATCTGAAGTTACTTGCTTTTCCACGATAGGCCTCAAAGCACACCAAATATCCACTTGCAGATCCTGTGAAAACAGTGTTCCAAAACTGGTCAATCATAAGATAGGTTTAACTCTGTGAGTTGAATGCACAATCACAAGAAGTTTCTCAGAATGCCTCTGTGTAGTTTTTATTTGGAGGTATTTCCTTTTCCACCCTAGGTAGCAAAGGGCTCCAAATATCCCCTTGCAGATTCTGCAAAATGAGAGATTCAAAACTGCTCAATCAAAAGATAGGTTCAGCTCTGTGAGTTGAATGCTCACATAACAAAGAAGTTTCTCACAGTATTTCTGCCTAGTTTTTAAGTGAAGATATTTTCTTTTCCGAAATAGACCTCAAAGCCCTCCAAATATCAACTTCCAGACTCTACAAAAGCAGTGTTTCAAAACTGCTCAATCAAAAGAAATTGTCAACTCTGTGAGATGAATGTACACATCACAAAGAAGTTTCTCAGAATGCTTCTGTGTAGTTTTTATTTGAAGATATTTCCTTTTCCACCACAGGCCGCAAAGGGCTCCCAATATCCACTTGCAGATTGTACAAAAAGAGAGATTCAAAACTGGTCACTCAAGCACTGTGTGCTTCCGCTCTGTGAGTTGAATGCACACATCAAAAAGAAGTTTCTTAGAGTGCCTCTATGTAGATTTTATGTGAAGATATTTGCTTTTCCACTTTAGGTCTCAAAGCGCTCCAAATATCCACGTGCAGATTCTAAAAAAGAGACATTCTAAGCTACTCCATCAAAAGATAGGTTCAGCTCTGTGAGTTGAATTCACACATCACAAAGAAGTTTCTAGGAGTGCTTCTGTGTAGTTGTTATGTGAAGATATTTGCTTTTCCACAGTAGGCCTCAAATCGCTCTACATATCCACTTGCAGTTTCTACAAAAAGAGTGTTTCCAAACTGCTCCATCATAAGACACGTTCAACTCTGAGAGTTGAATGCACACATCACAAAGAAGTTTCTCAGAATGCTTCTGTGTGGTTTTAATTTGAAGATATTTC
Source organism: Homo sapiens (assembly GCF_000001405.40). Classification (NCBI taxonomy): domain Eukaryota; kingdom Metazoa; phylum Chordata; class Mammalia; order Primates; family Hominidae; genus Homo; species Homo sapiens. The sequence goes on along the minus strand of NC_000015.10, from coordinate 17,398,484 downwards.
CTTTTCCAAAACAGGCCTCAAAGCTCTCCAAATATCCACCTGGTTATTCTGCAAAAAGAGGGTTTCAATACTACTCAATAAAAAGGAAGATTCAACTCTGTGTGAGGAACGCATTCATCACAAAGAAGTCTTTCTGAATGCTTCTGTGTAGCTTTTATATGAAGATATTTCCTTTTACACCACAGGGTGCAAACAGCTCCAAACTTCCACTTGCAGATTCTACAAAAAGACGTATTCAAAACTGTACAATCAAAAGATAGTGTCAACTCTGCATGTTCAATGCACACATCACAAAGGACTTTCTCTGAATGCTTCTCTGTAGGGTTTGTTTATGTGAAGACATTTGCTTTTCCACTATAGGGTGAAACAGGGCTCCAAGTATCAACTTGCAGATTCTGCAAAAAGGAGATTCAAAACAGCTAAATCCAAAGATTACTTCAACTATGTGAGTTGAATGCACACACAAAAAAGAAGTTTCTCAGAATGCCTCTGTGTAGTTTTTATGTGAAGATATTTGATTTTCCACATTAGGCCTCAAAGCGCTCCAAATATCCACTTGCAGATTCTAGAAAAAGAGTGTTTCAAAACTGCCCTATCAAAAGAAACGTCCAACACTGTGAGATGAATGCACACATCACAAAGAAGTTTCTCAGAATGCTTCTTTGTAATTTTTATGTGAAGATATTCCCTTTTCCAAAGAAGGCCACAAAGTACTCCCAATATCCACTTGCAGGTTCTACAAAATGAGTGTTTCAAAACCGCTCAATCATTAGATAGGTTCAACTCTGTGAGACGAATGCACACGTCACAAAGAAGTTTTACGGAATGCTTCTATATAGTTTTTATTTGAAGGTATTTCCTTTTCCACCCTAGGTTGCCAAGGGCTCCAAATATCCACTTGCAGATTCGACAAAAAGAGAGATTCAAAACTGCTCAATGATAAGTCCAACTCTGTGGGTTGAATCCATGCCTCACAAAGAAGTTTCTCAGAATGCTTCTCTGTAGTTTCTATGTGAAGATATTTCCTTTTTCACAATAGGCCTCAAGCTTTCCAAATATCCACTTGCAGATTCTGCAAAAAGAGAGATACAAAACTGCTCTATCAAAAGATAGGTTCGACTCTGGTGAGTTCAATGCAAACATCACAAAGAAGATTCTCAGAATGCTTCTGCGTAGTTTTTATGTGAAGATGTTCTGTTTTCTACCATAGGGCGAAATGGGGCTCCAAATCTCTACTTGCATTTTCTACAAAAGGAGAGATTCTAAGCTGCTCAATCAAAAGATAGGTTCAACACTGTTAGTTGAATGCACACATCCCAAAGAAGTCTCTGAGAATGCTTCTGTGTAGTTTTTATGTGAAGATATTTGCTTTTCCACAATAGGCCTCAAATCGTTCTAAATATCCACTTGCAGGCTCTACAAAAAGAGTGTTTCCAAATTGCTCAATCATAAGGTAGGTTCAACTCTGAGAGTTGAATGCTCACATCATGAAGAAGTTTCTCAGAATGGTTCTGTGTAGTTTTACTTTGAAGATATTTCATTTTCCAAATCAGGCCCCAAAGCTCTCCAAATATCCACTTGGTGATTCTGCAAAAGGAGCGTTTCAATACTGCTCAATAAAAAGAAAGGCTCAACTCTGTGTGAGGAATGCATTCATCACAAAGAAGTTTCTCTGAATGCTTCTTTGTAGTTTTTATATGAAGATATTTCCCTTTCCACCACAGGGTGCAAAGAGCTCCAAATATCCACTTGCAGATTCCACAAAAAAAGAGATATGAAAGTGCTCCATGGAAAGATAAGTTCAACTCTGTGAGTTGAATGCACACCTCACAAAGAAGTATCTCAAAATGCTTCTGCGTAGTTTTTATGTGAAGATATTTCCTTTTCCAAGTAGGCCTCAACGTTCTCCAGATATCCACTCGCAGATTCTGCAAAAAGAGAGACTCAAAACTGCTGAATCAAAAGATAGTTTCAACTCTGTGACTTCATTGCACACCTCACAAAGATGTTTCTCAGAATGCTTCTGTGCAGTTTTCATATAAAGATATCTCCTTCTCCAAAATAGATCTCAAGGTTCTCCAAATATTCACTTCCAGATTCTATGGAAAGATTGTCTCAAAACTGCTCAATCAAACCAAAGGTTCAACCCTGTGAGATGAATGCACACATCACAAGGAAGTTTCTCGGAATACTTCTGTGTAGTTTTTATTTGAGGATAGTTCCTTTTCCACCACAGACCACAAAGGGCTCCAAATATCCATTGCAGATGTTACAAAAAGAGAGATTCAAAACTGCTCAACCAAAAGGTAGTTTCAACCATGTGATATGAATGCACACAGCACAGAGAAATTTCTCAAAATGCTTCTGTCTAGTTTTTATTTGAAGATATTGCCTTTTCTACCATAGGCCACAAACGTCTCCAAATATCCACATGCAGCTTCTACAAAAAGAGAGATTCAAAGCTTCTCAATCAAAAGATAGGTTCAACTCTGTGAGTTGAATGCACACTTCACAAAGAAGTTTCTCAGAGTGCTTCTGTGTGTTTTTATGTGAAGATGATTCCTTTTCCACAATAGGCCTCAAAGCTCTCCAAGTATCTGCAAGCAGAGTCTACAAAAAGAGAGATTCAAAACTGCTCAATGAAAAGATAGGTTCAACTCTGTGAGTTGAATGCACACCTCCAAAGAAGTTTCTCAGAATGCTTCCGTGTAGTTTCTATGTGAAGATATTTACTTTTCCACAATTGTCCCAAAGCTCTAAAATATCCACTTGCAGACCCTCTGAAAGAGTGTTTCAGAATTGCTCAATCAAAGGAGAGGTTCAATTCTGTGTGACCAATGCACTCATCACAAAAAGTTTGTCTGAATGCTTCTGTGTAGAATGGATTTGAAGATAATTCCTTTTCCACCACAGTCCGCAAATGGCTAAAAATATCCACTTGCAGATTCCACAAAAAGAGAGATTCAAAACTGCTCAATCACAAGGTAGGTTCAACTTGGTAATTTGAAAGCACACATGACAAACAATTTCTGAGAATGTTTCTGTGTAGCTTTTAAGGGAAGATATTTGATTTTCAAATGTAGGCCTCAAAACGCTCCAAATATCCACTTGCAGATTGTACAAAAAGAGAGATTCAAAACTGGTCACTCAAAAGATAGTTCCAGCTCTGTGAGTTGAATGCAAACCTCACAAAGATGTTTCTCAGAAAGCTTCTGTATAGTTTTTATATGAAGATACTTGCTTTTCCACAATATACCTCAAATCTCCCCAATTATCCACTTGCAGATTCTACAAAAAGAGTGTTTCAAAACTGCTCAATCAAAATACACTTTCAACTCTGTGAGATCAATGCACACATCACAAAGAAGTTTCTCAGAATGCTTCTGTATAGTTTTTATCTGAAGTTATTTGCTTTTCCACGATAGGCCTCAAAGCACGCCAAATATCCACTTGCAGATCCTATGAAAAGAGTGTTCCAAAACTGGTCAATCATAAGATAGGTTTAACTCTGTGAGTTGAATGCACAATCACGAGGAAGTTTCTCAGAATGCCTCTGTGTGCTTTTCATTTGAAGGTATTTCCTTTTCCACCATAGGCCGCAAAGGGCTCCAAATATCCCCTTGCAGATTCTGCAAAATGAGAGATTCAAAACTGCTCAATCAAAAGATAGGTTCAACTCTGTGAGTTGAATGCTCACATAACAAAGAAGTTTCTCACAGTATTTCTGTGTAGTTTTTATTTGAAGATATTTCCTTTTCCACCATAGGCCGCAAAGGGCTCCAAATATCCACTTGCAGATTGTATAAAAAGAGAGATTCAAAACTGGTCACTCGAAGGATCGGTTCAGCTCTGTGAGGTGAATGCACACATCAAAAAGAAGTTTCTTAGAGTGCCTCTGTCTAGTTTTTATGTGAAGATATTTGCTTTTCCAATAGTAGGTCTCAAAGCACTCCAAATATCCACTTGCAGATTCTAAAAAAAGAGAGATTCTAAACTACTCCATCAAAAGATAGGTTCAGCTCTGTGAGTTGAATTCACACATCACAAAGAAGTTTCTCAGAGTGCTTCTGTGTTGTTTTTATGTGAAGATATTTCCTTTTCCACAGTAGACCTCAAATCGCTCTAAGTATCCACTTGCAGATTCTACAAAAAGAGTGTTTCCAAACTGCTCAATCATAAGATAGGTTCAACTCTGAGAGTTGAATGCACACATCCCACAGAAGTTTCTCAGAATGCTTCTGTGTAGTTTTAATTTGAAGATATTTCCTTTTCCAAAACAGGCCTCAAAGCTCTCCAAATATCCACTTGGTGATTCTGCAAAAAGAAGATTTCAATAGTACTCAATAAAAAGAAAGATTCAACTCTGTGTGAGGAATGCATTCATCACAAAGAAGTCTCTCTGAATGCTTCTGTGTAGTTTTTATATGAACATATTTACTTCTACACCACAGGGTGCAAAGAGCTCCAAACTTCCACTTGCAGATTCTACAAAAAGAGATATTCAAAACTGTACAATGAAAAGATAGTTTCAATTCTGCATGTTCAATGCACACATCACAAAGAACTTTCTCTGAATGCTTCTGTGTAGTGTTTGTTTATGTGAAGATATCTGCTTTTCCACTATAGGGTGAAATAGGGCTCCAAATATCCACGTGTAGATTTTGCAAAAAGGAGATTCAAAGCATCTCAATCAAAAGATAACTTCAACTATGTGAGTTGAATGCACACAAAACAAAGAAGTTTCTCAGAATGCCTCTGTGTAGTTTTTATGTGAAGATATTTGATTTTCCACATTAGGCCTCAAAGCGCTCCAAATATCCACTTGCAGATTCTACAAAAAGAGTGTTTCAAAACTGCTCAATCAAAAGAAACGTCCAACACTGTGAGATGAATGCACACATCACGCAGAAGTTTCTCAGAATGCTTCTGTGTAGTTTTTATGTGAAGATATTTGCTTTTCCACGAAGCCCTCAAAGCGCACCAAATATCCACTTGCAGTTTCTACAAAATGAGTGTTTCAAGACTGCTCAGTCATTAGATAGGTTCAACCCTGTGAGAAGAATGCACACATCACCAAGAAATTTTTCAGAATGCTTCTATGTAGTTTTTATTTGAAGGTATTTCCTTTTCCACCAAAGGTAGCAAAGGGCTCCAAATATCCACTTGCTGATTCTACAAAAAAAAATATTTTAAACTGCTCAATCAAAAGATAGGTTCAACTCTGTGAGTTGAATGCACACATCACAAAGTAGTTTCTCAGAATGCTTCTCTGTAGTTTCTATGTGAAGATATTTCCTTTTTCACAATAGGCCTCAAGCTTTCCAAATATCCACTTGCAGATTCTGCAAAAAGAGAGATACAAAACTGCTCTATCAAAAGATAGGTTCGACTCTGTGAGTTCAATGCAAACATCACAAAGAAGATTCTCAGAATGCTTCTGTGTAGTTTTTATGTGAAGATGTTCTGTTTTCTACCATAGGGCGAAATGGGGCTCCAAATCTCTACTTGCATTTTCTACAAAAGGAGAGATTCTAAGCTGCTCAATCAAAAGATAGGTTCAACACTGTTAGTTGAATGCACACATCCCAACGAAGTTTCTCAGAATGCTTCTGTGTAGTTTTTATGTGAAGATATTTGCTTTTCCACAATAGGCCTCAAATCGTTCTAAATATCCACTTGCAGGCTCTACAAAAAGAGTGTTTCCAAATTGCTCAATCATAAGGTAGCTTCAACTCTGAGAGTTGAATGCTAACATCATAAAGAAGTTTCTCAGAATGGTTCTGTGTAGTTTTACTTTGAAGATATTTCATTTTCCAAATGAGGCCCCAAAGCTCTCCAAATATCCACTTGGTGATTCTGCAAAAAGAGCGTTTCAATACTGCTCAGTAAAAAGAAAGGCTCAACTCTGTGTGAGGAATGCATTCATCACAAAGAAGTTTCTCTGAATGCTTCTTTGTAGTTTTTATATGAAGATATTTCCCTTTCCACCACAGGGTGCAAAGACCTCCAAATATCCACTTGCAGATTCCACAAAGAAAGAGATATGAAAGTGCTCCATGGAAAGATAAGTTCAACTCTGTGAGTGGAATGCACACCTCACAAAGAAGTATCTCAAAATGCTTCTGCGTAGTTTTTATGTGAAGATATTTCCTTTTCCAAATAGGCCTCAAAGTTCTCCAGATATCCACTCGCAGATTCTGCAAAAAGAGAGACTCAAAACTGCTGAATCAAAAGATAGTTTCAACTCTGTGACTTCATTGCACACCTCACAAACATGTTTCTCAGAATGCTTCTGTGCAGTTTTTATATAAAGATATCTCCTTCTCCAAAATAGATCTCAAAGTTATCCAAGTATTCACTTCCAGATTCTATGGAAAGATTATCTCAAAACTGCTCAATCAAACCAAAGGTTCAACTCTGTGAGATAAATGCACACATCACAAAGAAGTTTCTCAGAATACTTCCGTGTAGTTTTTATTTGAGGATAGTTCCTTTTCCACCACAGACCACAAAGGGCTCCAAATATCCATTGCAGATGGTACAAACAGAGAGACTCGAAACTGCTCAATCAAAAGGTAGTTTCAACCATGTGATATGAATGCACACAGAACAGAGAACTTTCTCAAAATGCTTCTGTCTAGTTTTTATTTGAAGATATTTCCTTTTCTACCATAGGCCACAAACGTCGCCAAATATCCACATGCAGCTTCTACAAAAAGAGAGATTCAAAACTTCTCCATCAAAAGATAGGTTCAACTCTGTGAGTTGAATGCACATCTCACAAAGAAGTTTGCTCAGAGTGCTTCTGTGTGTTTTTATGTGAACATATTCTCTTTTCCACAATAGGCCTCAAAGCTCTCCAAATATCTGTAAGCAGAGTCTACAAAAAGAGAGATTCAAAACTGCTCAGTGAAAAGATAGGTTCAACTCTGTGAGTTGAATGCACACCTCCAAAGAAGTTTCTCAGAATGCTTCCGTGTAGTTTTTATGTGAAGATATTTACTTTTCCACAATTGTCCCAAAGCTCTAAAATATCCACTTGCAGACCCTCTGAAAGAGTGTTTCAGAATTGCTCAATCAAAGGAGAGGTTCAATTCTGTGTGACCAATGCACTCATCACCAAGAAGTTTGTCTGAATGCTTCTGTGTAGAATGGATTTGAAGATAATTCCTTTTCCACCACAGTCCGCAAAGGGCTAAAAATATCCATTTGCAGATTCCACAAAAAGAGAGATTCAGAACTGCTCAATCACAAGATAGGTTCAACTTGGTAATTTGAAAGCCCACATGACAAACAATTTCTGAGAATGTTTCTGTGTAGTTTTTAAGGGAAGATATTTGATTTTCAAATGTAGGCCTCAAATCGCTCCAAATATCCACTTGCAGATTGAACAAAAAGAGAGATTCAAAACTGGTCACTCAAGAGATAGGTCCAGCTCTGTGAGTTGAATGCAAACCTCACAAAGATGTTTCTCAGAAGGCTTCTGTATAGTTTTTATATGAAGATATTTGCTTTTCCACAACATACCTCAAATCTCTCCAATTATCCACTTGCAGATTCTACAGAAGGAGTGTTTTAAAACTGCTCAATCAAAATACACTTTCAACTCTGTGAGATCAATGCACACATCACAAAGAAGTTTCTCAGAATGCTTCTGTATAGTTTTTATCTGAAGTTACTTGCTTTTCCACGATAGGCCTCAAAGCACACCAAATATCCACTTGCAGATCCTGTGAAAACAGTGTTCCAAAACTGGTCAATCATAAGATAGGTTTAACTCTGTGAGTTGAATGCACAATCACAAGAAGTTTCTCAGAATGCCTCTGTGTAGTTTTTATTTGGAGGTATTTCCTTTTCCACCCTAGGTAGCAAAGGGCTCCAAATATCCCCTTGCAGATTCTGCAAAATGAGAGATTCAAAACTGCTCAATCAAAAGATAGGTTCAGCTCTGTGAGTTGAATGCTCACATAACAAAGAAGTTTCTCACAGTATTTCTGCCTAGTTTTTAAGTGAAGATATTTTCTTTTCCGAAATAGACCTCAAAGCCCTCCAAATATCAACTTCCAGACTCTACAAAAGCAGTGTTTCAAAACTGCTCAATCAAAAGAAATTGTCAACTCTGTGAGATGAATGTACACATCACAAAGAAGTTTCTCAGAATGCTTCTGTGTAGTTTTTATTTGAAGATATTTCCTTTTCCACCACAGGCCGCAAAGGGCTCCCAATATCCACTTGCAGATTGTACAAAAAGAGAGATTCAAAACTGGTCACTCAAGCACTGTGTGCTTCCGCTCTGTGAGTTGAATGCACACATCAAAAAGAAGTTTCTTAGAGTGCCTCTATGTAGATTTTATGTGAAGATATTTGCTTTTCCACTTTAGGTCTCAAAGCGCTCCAAATATCCACGTGCAGATTCTAAAAAAAGAGACATTCTAAGCTACTCCATCAAAAGATAGGTTCAGCTCTGTGAGTTGAATTCACACATCACAAAGAAGTTTCTAGGAGTGCTTCTGTGTAGTTGTTATGTGAAGATATTTGCTTTTCCACAGTAGGCCTCAAATCGCTCTACATATCCACTTGCAGTTTCTACAAAAAGAGTGTTTCCAAACTGCTCCATCATAAGACACGTTCAACTCTGAGAGTTGAATGCACACATCACAAAGAAGTTTCTCAGAATGCGTCTGTGTGGTTTTAATTTGAAGATATTTCCTTTTCCAAAACAGGCCTCAAAGCTCTCCAAATATCCCTCTGGTTATTCTGCAAAAAGAGGGTTTCAAAACTACTCAATAAAAAGGTAGATTCAACTCTGTGTGAGGAACGCATTCCTCACAAAGAAGTCTCTCTGAAAGCTTCTGTGTAGTTTTTATATGAAGATATTTCCTTTTGCACCACAGCGTGCAAACAGCTCCAAACTTCCACTTGCAGATTCTACAAAAAGAGATATTCAAAACTGTACAATCAAAAGATAGTTTCAACTCTGCGTGTTCAATGCACACATCACAAAGGACTTTCTCTGAATGCTTCTCTGTAGTGTTTGTTTATGTGGAGATATTTGCTTTTCCACTATAGGGTGAAACAGGGCTCCAGGTATCAACTTGCAGATTCTGCAAAAAGGAGATTCAAAACAGCTAAATCCAAAGATAACTTCAACTATGTGAGTTGAATGCACACACAAAAAAGAAGTTTCTCAGAATGCCTCTGTGTAGTTTTTATGTGAAGATATTTGATTTTCCACATTAGGCCTCAAAGCGCTCCAAATATCCACTTGCAGACTCTACAAGAAGACTCTTTCGAAACTGCCCTATCAAAAGAAACGTCCAACACTGTGAGATGCATGCACACATCACAAAGAAGTTTCTCAGAATGCTTCTTTGTAATTTTTATGTGAAGATATTCCCTTTTCCAAAGAAGGCCACAAAGTACTCCCAATATCCACTTGCAGGTTCTACAAAATGAGTGTTTCAAAACCGCTCAATCATTAGATAGGTTCAACTCTGTGAGACGAATGCACACGTCACAAAGAAGTTTTACGGAATGCTTCTATATAGTTTTTATTTGAAGGTATTTCCTTTTCCACCCTAGGTTGCAAAGGGCTCCAAATATCCACTTGCAGATTCGACAAAAAGAGAGATTCAAAACTGCTCAATGACAAGTCCAACTCTGTGGGTTGAATCCATGCCTCACAAAGAAGTTTCTCAGAATGCTTCTCTGTAGTTTTTATGTGAAGATATTTCCTTTTTCACAATAGGCCTCAAGCTTTCCAAATATCCACTTGCAGATTCCGCAAAAAGAGAGATACAAAAGTGCTCTATCAAAAGATAGGTTCGACTCTGGGAGTTCAATGCAAACATCACAAAGAAGTTTCTCAGAATGCTTCTGTGTAGATTTTATGTGAAGATGTTTTGTTTTCTACCATAGGGCAAAATGGGGCTCCAAATATCTACTTGCATTTTCTACAAAAAGAGAGATTCTAAGCTGCTCAATCAAAAGATACGTTCAACACTGTTAGTTGAATGCACACATGCCAAAGAAGTTTCTCAGAATGCTTCTGTGTAGTTTTTATGTGAAGATATTTGCTTTTCCACAATAGGCCTCAAATCGTTCTAAATATCCACTTGCAGGCTCTACAAAAAGAGTGTTTCCAAATTGCTCAATCATAAGGTAGGTTCAACTCTGAGAGTTGAATGCACACATCATAAAGAAGTTTCTCAGAATGGTTCTGTGTAGTTTTACTTTGAAGATATTTCATTTTCCAAAACAGGCCCCAAAGCTCTCCAAATATCCACTTGGTGATTCTGCAAAAAGAGCGTTTCAATACTGCTCCATAAAAAGAAAGGTTCAGCTCTGTGTGAGGAATGCATTCATCACAAGAAGTTTCTCTGAATGCTTCTTTGTAGTTTTTATATGAAGATAGTTCCCTTTCCACCACAGGGTGCAAAGAGCTCCAAATATCCACTTGCAGATTCTACAGAAAATGAGATATGAAAGTGCTCAAGGAAAAGATAAGTTCAACTCTGTGAGTTGCATGCACACCTCACAAAGAAGAATCTCAAAATGCTTCTGCATAGTTTATATGTGAAGATATTTCCTTTTCCAAATAGGCCTCCAAGTTCTCCAGATATCCACTCGCAGATTCTGCAAAAAGAGAGACTCAAAACTGCTGAATCAAAACATAGTTTCAACTCTGTGACTTCATTGCACACCTCACAAAGATGTTTCTCAGAATGCTTCTGTGCAGTTTTCATATAAAGATATCTCCTTCTCCAAAATAGATCTCAAGGTTCTCCAAATATTCACTTCCAGATTCTATGGAAAGATTGTCTCAAAACTGCTCAATCAAACCAAAGGTTCAACCCTGTGAGATGAATGCACACATCACAAGGAAGTTTCTCGGAATACTTCTGTGTAGTTTTTATTTGAGGATAGTTCCTTTTCCACCACAGACCACAAAGGGCTCCAAATATCCATTGCAGATGTTACAAAAAGAGAGATTCAAAACTGCTCAACCAAAAGGTAGTTTCAACCATGTGATATGAATGCACACAGCACAGAGAAATTTCTCAAAATGCTTCTGTCTAGTTTTTATTTGAAGATATTGCCTTTTCTACCATAGGCCACAAACGTCTCCAAATATCCACATGCAGCTTCTACAAAAAGAGAGATTCAAAGCTTCTCAATCAAAAGATAGGTTCAACTCTGTGAGTTGAATGCACACTTCACAAAGAAGTTTCTCAGAGTGCTTCTGTGTGTTTTTATGTGAAGATGATTCCTTTTCCACAATAGGCCTCAAAGCTCTCCAAGTATCTGCAAGCAGAGTCTACAAAAAGAGAGATTCAAAACTGCTCAATGAAAAGATAGGTTCAACTCTGTGAGTTGAATGCACACCTCCAAAGAAGTTTCTCAGAATGCTTCCGTGTAGTTTCTATGTGAAGATATTTACTTTTCCACAATTGTCCCAAAGCTCTAAAATATCCACTTGCAGACCCTCTGAAAGAGTGTTTCAGAATTGCTCAATCAAAGGAGAGGTTCAATTCTGTGTGACCAATGCACTCATCACAAAAAGTTTGTCTGAATGCTTCTGTGTAGAATGGATTTGAAGATAATTCCTTTTCCACCACAGTCCGCAAATGGCTAAAAATATCCACTTGCAGATTCCACAAAAAGAGAGATTCAAAACTGCTCAATCACAAGGTAGGTTCAACTTGGTAATTTGAAAGCACACATGACAAACAATTTCTGAGAATGTTTCTGTGTAGCTTTTAAGGGAAGATATTTGATTTTCAAATGTAGGCCTCAAAACGCTCCAAATATCCACTTGCAGATTGTACAAAAAGAGAGATTCAAAACTGGTCACTCAAAAGATAGTTCCAGCTCTGTGAGTTGAATGCAAACCTCACAAAGATGTTTCTCAGAAAGCTTCTGTATAGTTTTTATATGAAGATACTTGCTTTTCCACAATATACCTCAAATCTCCCCAATTATCCACTTGCAGATTCTACAAAAAGAGTGTTTCAAAACTGCTCAATCAAAATACACTTTCAACTCTGTGAGATCAATGCACACATCACAAAGAAGTTTCTCAGAATGCTTCTGTATAGTTTTTATCTGAAGTTACTTGCTTTTCCACGATAGGCCTCAAAGCACACCAAATATCCACTTGCAGATCCTGTGAAAACAGTGTTCCAAAACTGGTCAATCATAAGATAGGTTTAACTCTGTGAGTTGAATGCACAATCACAAGAAGTTTCTCAGAATGCCTCTGTGTAGTTTTTATTTGGAGGTATTTCCTTTTCCACCCTAGGTAGCAAAGGGCTCCAAATATCCCCTTGCAGATTCTGCAAAATGAGAGATTCAAAACTGCTCAATCAAAAGATAGGTTCAGCTCTGTGAGTTGAATGCTCACATAACAAAGAAGTTTCTCACAGTATTTCTGTGTAGTTTTTATTTGAAGATATTTCCTTTTCCACCATAGGCCGCAAAGGGCTCCAAATATCCACTTGCAGATTGTATAAAAAGAGAGATTCAAAACTGGTCACTCAAAGGATCGGTTCAGCTCTGTGAGGTGAATGCACACATCAAAAAGAAGTTTCTTAGAGTGCCTCTATGTAGATTTTATGTGAAGATATTTGCTTTTCCACTTTAGGTCTCAAAGCGCTCCAAATATCCACGTGCAGATTCTAAAAAAAGAGAGATTCTAAGCTACTCCATCAAAAGATAGGTTCAGCTCTGTGAGTTGAATTCACACATCACAAAGAAGTTTCTAGGAGTGCTTCTGTGTAGTTGTTATGTGAAGATATTTGCTTTTCCACAGTAGGCCTCAAATCGCTCTACATATCCACTTGCAGTTTCTACAAAAAAGAGTGTTTCCAAACTGCTCCATCATAAGACACGTTGAACTCTGAGAGTTGAATGCACACATCACAAAGAAGCTTCTCAGAATGCTTCTGTGTGGTTTTAATTTGAAGATATTTGCTTTTCCAAAACAGGCCTCAAAGCTCTCCAAATATCCACCTGGTTATTCTGCAAAAAGAGGGTTTCAATACTACTCAATAAAAAGGAAGATTCAACTCTGTGTGAGGAACGCATTCATCACAAAGAAGTCTTTCTGAATGCTTCTGTGTAGCTTTTATATGAAGATATTTCCTTTTACACCACAGGGTGCAAACAGCTCCAAACTTCCACTTGCAGATTCTACAAAAAGACGTATTCAAAACTGTACAATCAAAAGATAGTGTCAACTCTGCATGTTCAATGCACACATCACAAAGGACTTTCTCTGAATGCTTCTCTGTAGGGTTTGTTTATGTGAAGATATTTGCTTTTCCACTATAGGGTAAAACAGGGCTCCAAGTATCAACTTGCAGATTCTGCAAAAAGGAGATTCAAAACAGCTAAATCCAAAGATTACTTCAACTATGTGAGTTGAATGCACACACAAAAAAGAAGTTTCTCAGAATGCCTCTGTGTAGTTTTTATGTGAAGATATTTGATTTTCCACATTAGGCCTCAAAGCGCTCCAAATATCCACTTGCAGACTCTACAAGAAGACTCTTTCGAAACTGCCCTATCAAAAGAAACGTCCAACAGTGTGAGATGCATGCACACATCACAAAGAAGTTTCTCAGAATGCTTCTATATAGTTTTTATGTGAAGGTGTTTCCTTTTCCACCATAGGTTGCAAAAGGGCTCCAAATATCCACTTGCAGATTCGACCAAAAGAGAGATTCAAAACTGCTCAATGATAAGTCCAACTCTGTGGGTTGAATCCATGCCTCACAGAGAAGTTTCTCAGAATGCTTCTCTGTAGTTTCTATGTGAAGATATTTCCTTTTTCACAATAGGCCTCAAGCTTTCCAAATATCCACTTGCAGATTCTGCAAAAAGAGAGATACAAAACTGCTCTATCAAAAGATAGGTTCGTCTCTGGGAGTTCAATGCAAACATCACAAAGAAGTTTCTCAGAATGCTTTCTGCGTAGTTTTTATGTGAAGATGTTCTGTTTTCTACCATAGGGCGAAATGGGGCTCCAAATCTCTACTTGCATTTTCTACAAAAGGAGAGATTCTAAGCTGCTCAATCAAAAGATAGGTTCAACACTGTTAGTTGAATGCACACATCCCAAAGAAGTCTCTGAGAATGCTTCTGTGTAGTTTTTATGTGAAGATATTTGCTTTTCCACAATAGGCCTCAAATCGTTCTAAATATCCACTTGCAGGCTCTACAAAAAGAGTGTTTCCAAATTGCTCAATCATAAGGTAGCTTCAACTCTGAGAGTTGAATGCTCACATCATGAAGAAGTTTCTCAGAATGGTTCTGTGTAGTTTTACTTTGAAGATATTTCATTTTCCAAATCAGGCCCCAAAGCTCTCCAAATATCCACTTGGTGATTCTGCAAAAAGAGCGTTTCAATACTGCTCAATAAAAAGAAAGGCTCAACTCTGTGTGAGGAATGCATTCATCACAAAGAAGTTTCTCTGAATGCTTCTTTGTAGTTTTTATATGAAGATATTTCCCTTTCCACCACAGGGTGCAAAGAGCTCCAAATATCCACTTGCAGATTCCACAAAAAAAGAGATATGAAAGTGCTCCATGGAAAGATAAGTTCAACTCTGTGAGTTGAATGCACACCTCACAAAGAAGTATCTCAAAATGCTTCTGCGTAGTTTTTATGTGAAGATATTTCCTTTTCCAAGTAGGCCTCAACGTTCTCCAGATATCCACTCGCAGATTCTGCAAAAAGAGAGACTCAAAACTGCTGAATCAAAAGATAGTTTCAACTCTGTGACTTCATTGCACACCTCACAAAGATGT
>NC_000015.10:17076597-17083573 GCF_000001405.40 Homo sapiens | reverse complement strand
ATTCCATTCCATTCCATCCCACTGCATTCCATTCCATTCCATTCCATTCCACTCCACTCCACTGCACTCCATTTCATTCCATTCCACTCAACTCCACGCCCCTCCGCTCCACTTCACTCCACTCCATTCCATTCCACTGCACTCCACTAAAGTCCACTCCTCTCCAATCCACTCCATTCTATTAAATTCCATTCCATTCCACTCCATTCTATTCCATTCCATTCCAGTCCAGTGCTCTCCGATCCACTCCACTCACCTACACTCCACTCCACTCCTTTCCATTCCGTTCCATTACATTTCGTTCCATTCCATTTCAAAACATTCCATTCCACTCCATTCCACTCCCCTCCACTCCACTCCATTCCATTCCCTTCCACTGCACTCTGATCTACTTCACTCCACTCCACTCCACTCCATTCCCTTCCGCTCCATTCCATTACACTCCACTCCATTCCATTCCACTCTACTCCCTTCCATCCCATTCCATTCCATTCCACTGCACTCCGATCCACTCCACTCCACTCTACTCCACTCCATTCCATTCCACTCCATTCCATTCCACTCCACTCCACTCCATTCCACTGCACTCCGATCCACTCCACTCAACTCCACTCCACTCCTCTCCTCTCCACTCCTTTCCCTTCCATTCAGTTGAATTCCATTCCATTCCATTCCTCTCCATTCCACTCCACTCTATTCTACTCCATTCCACTCCGCTCCACTCCACTCCACTCAATTCCATTCCATTCCACTGCACTCCGATCCACTCCTCTCAACTCCACTATACTACACTACACTCCATTCCATTCCATTGCATTCCGTTCTGTACCATTCCGTTCCATTCCTCCCCATTCCATTCCACTCCACTCCATTCCACTCCATTTCACTCCATTCCATTCCATTCCTTTCCATTCCATTCCACTCCATTCCACTACACTCCATTCCACTCCACTCCATTCTACTCCACTCTACTCTATTATCCTCCATTCCACTTCATTCCATTCCATTCAATTCCTCTCTATTCCATTTCATTGCATTCCACTCCTTTCCACTCCACTCCATTCCACTGCACTCCATTCCACTCCACTCCTCTCCATTCCACTCCATTCCATTCCACTGCACTCCATTCCATTCCACTCTACTCTATTACATTTCATTCCTTTATTTCTATTGGATGTCACTCTGTCACGCAGACTGTAGTGCAGTGACACAATCTTAGCTCACATTACATTTCACCATTCCATTCCATTCCATTGCATTCCATTCCATTCCTTTCCATTCCACTCCACTCCACTCCACTCCAATCCATTCCATTCCACTCCACTCTATTCCTTGCCATTCCATTTCATTCCATTCCATTCCACTCCACTCCGATTCACTCCACTCAACTGTACTCCACTCCATTCCACTTCATTCCGTTCCATTCCATTCCATTATGTTCCATTCTATTCCATTGCATTCCATTCCATTCCACTCCACTGCATTCCATTCCCCTCCGTTCCACTCCACTCCATTGCACTCCACTCCACTCCATTCCATTCCATTCTACTACATTCCATTCCATTCATTTATTTCAAATGGATCTCACTCTGTCACCCAGACTGGAGTGCAGTGGCATAATCTTAGCTTACATTTCATTTCACCATTCCATTCCATTCCATTCCATGCCATTCAACTCCATTCCATTCCATTCCATTCAATTCCATTCTATTCCACTGCATTCCATTCCACTGCTCTCATATCCAATTGACTCAACTCCACTGCACTCCTCTCCACTCCATTCCGTTCCATTCCATTCCATTCCATTACATGCCATTCCATTCCTTTCTTTTCCATTCCGTTCCTTTCCAATCCACTGCATTCCAATCCACTCCATTCCATTAAATTCCTCTCCACTCCACTCCATTCCATTCCTTTCCACTGCACTCCGATCCACTCCACTCAACTCCACTCCACTCCATTCCATTCTACTCCATTGCATTCCACCTCACTCCAATCCACTCCACTCCTCTCCACACCCTTCCATTCCATTCTAATCCATTCTATTTCACTCCACTCCACTCTATTCCACTCCACTCCATTCCATTCCACTCTTTTCCACTCCGTTCCACTCCATTCCATTCCACTCCACTCAATTCCATTCCATTCCATTCCACTCCATTCCATTCCATTCCACTCCAGTCCACTCCATTGCACTCTACTCCATTCCATTCCACTGCACTCCGATCCTCTCCACTCAACTCCACTCCACTGTACTTCTTTCTGTTCTGTACCATTGCATTCCATTCCTTACCCTTCCATTCCATTCCGTTCCATTCCATTCCATTCTACTCCACTCTATGACATTCCACTCCATTCCTCTCCACTGCACTCCACTCTAATCCACTGCACTCCACTCCATTCCATTCCATTCCATTCCACTGCATTGCAATCCACTCTACTCAACTCCACTGCACTCCACTCCATTCCACTGCGTTCCATTCCATTCCATTCAGTTCCATTCCGTTCTGTTCCTTTCTACTCCATTTAATTCCACTCCACTCGATTCCACTCCACTCCATTTCACTCCATTCCACTCCATTCCACTCTTCTCCTCTCCACTCTACTCCACTCCATTCCATTCCGTTCCACTCCATTCCATTCAATTCCATTCCATACCATTCCACTCCTTTCAACTCCACTCCACTCCAATCCACTCCACTCCACTCCATTCCATTCCATTCCACTCCACTCCACTCCATTCCATTCCACTCCACTCCTTTCCATTCCTCTCCATTCCATTCCACTCCACCGCATTCCATTCCATTCCTTTCAAATCCACTCCATTCCATTCCACTCCTCTCCACTGCACTCCAGTCCAATCCAATTCACTCCACTCCACTCCACTCCATTCCATTCCATTCTTTACCTCTCCAATCCATTCCATTCCCTTCCATTCCGTTCCACTCCATTCCATTCCATTCCATTCCATTCCACTCCATTCCATTCCATTCCATTCCATTCCATTCCATTCCATTCCATTCCATTCCATTCCATTTCACTGCAATCCGATCTTCACATGAAAACTAGACAGAAACTTTCTGGGAAACTTTTTTGTGGTGTGTGCATTCATCTCACATAGTTGAACCATTCTATTGATTGAGCAGTTTGGTCACAGTCTTTTTGTAGTATCTGCAAAAAGATATTTGTGAGCGCTTTGAAGCCTATGGTGAAAAAGGAAATATCTTCACAGAAAAGCTAGAAAGAAGGTTTCTGAGAAACTGCTTTTTGATGTGTGAATTCATCTCACAGAATTGAACCTTTGTATTGATTGAGTGTATTGGAAACCGTCTTTTTGTAGAATCTGCGAAGGATTATTTGTGAACACTTGTGGACCAGTGGTGGAAAAGGAAATATGTTCACATGAAAACTAGATGGAAGCTTTCTGGGACACTTCTGTGTTATGTGTGCACTCATCTGAATCAGTTGAACCATTCTTTTGATTGAGCTGTTTGGAAACAGTCTTTTTGTAGAATCAGCAAGGGATATTTGTGAGTGCTTTGAGGCCTATGGGGAAAAAGTAAATATCTTCACATAAAAACTATACAGAAGGCTTCTGAGGAACTGCTTTGTAATGTGTGCATTCATCTCACAGAGGTAAACATTTCTTTTCATTGAGCAGATGGGAAATTCTTTTTTTGTAGAATCTGCAAAGGGATATTTGTGAGTACTTTGAGGCCTATGGTGAAAAAGGAAATATCTTCATAGAAAATGTAGACAGAAACTTTCTGAGAAACTTATTTGTGATGTGTGCATTCATCTCATAGAGTTGAACCATTCTTATTTTTATTTTGGAGCTCTCGGTTTAATAAATTATTTATTTACTTTTATTATTATTATACTTTATGTTTTAGGGAACGTGTACAACGTGCAGGTTTGTTACGTATGTATACATGTGTCATGTTTGTGTGCTGCACCCATGAACTCATCATTTAGCATTAGGTATATCTCCTAAGTCTATCCCTCCCCCTCCCCATACCGGACTACAGTCCCTGGTGTGTGGTGTGTGATGGTTCCCTTTCTGTGTCCATGTGTTCTCTTTGATCAATTCCCAACTATGAGTGAGAACATGTGGTGTTTGATTTTTTGTCCTTGCAATAGTTCGCTGAGAATGATGGTTTCCAGCTTCATCTATGTCCCTACAAAGGACATGAACTCATCATTTTTTATGGCCACATAGTGTTCCATGATGTATATGTGCCACATTTTCTTCATTCAGTCTATAGTTGTTGGACATTTACATTGGTTCCAAGTCTTTGCTACTGTGAATAGTGCCACTATAAACATACGTGTGCATGTGTCTTTATAGCAGCATGATTTATAATCCTTTGGGTATATACCCAGTAAGGGGATGGCTAGGTCAAATGGTATTTCTAGTTCTAGATCCCTGAGGAATCACCATACCGACTTCCACAGTGGTTGAACTAGTTTACAGTCCCACCAACAGTGCAAAAGTGTTCCTATTTCTCACATCCTCTCCAGCACCTGTTTTTTCCTGACTTTTTAATGATCACCATTCTAACTGTTGTGAGATGGTATCTCATTGTGATTTTGACTTGCATTTCTCTGATGGCCAGTGAAGATGAGCATTTTTTCATTTGTTCATTGGCTGCATAAATGTCTTCTTTTGAGAAATGTCTGTTCATATCCTTCTCCCACTTTTTGATTGGGTTGTTTTTTTTCCTGTAAATTAGTCTGGGTTCATTGTGGATTCCTCATATTAGCCCTTTGTCAGATGAGTAGGTTGCAAAAATATTCTCCCATTCTGTAGGATTCCTTTTCACTCTGATGGTGGTTTCTTTTGCTGTGCAGAAGCTCCTTAGTTTAATTAGATCCCATTTGTCAATTGTGGCTTTTGTTGCCATTGCTTTAGGTGTTTTAGACATGAAGTCCTTGCCCATGCCTATGTCCTGAATGGTATTGCCTAGGTTTTTTTCTAGAGATTTTATGTGAAGCATTCTTTTGATTAATCAGTTTGGATACTCTGTTATTGTAGAACCTGCAAGGAGATATTTGTGAGCACTTTGAGGCCTTTGGTGAAAAAGGAAATACCTTCACATAATAAATAGACAGAAGTTCTCTGAGAAACCTCCCTGTCATGTGTGCATTCATCTCACAGAGTTGAAACAGTCTTTTGACTGAACAGTTTGAAAACTGTCAATTTGTAGAATCTGCAAAGGGATATTTGTGAGCCCTTTGAGGCCTATGGTGAGAAAGGAAATATCTTCATGTAAAAACTAGACAGAAGATTTTGGAGAAACCTCTTTGTGATGTGGGCATTCATCTCGCAGAGTTGAAGCATTCTTTTGATTGAGCAGTTTGTAAACAGACTTTTTGTAGAATCTGCAAAGTGATATTTGTCAGCTCTATGAGACCTATGGTGAAAAAGGAAATCTCTTCAATAAAAACTATAAAGAATGTTTCTGAGAAGCTGTTTTGCAAGGTGTGCACTCATCTCAGAGAGAAAAAAGTTTCTATTCTTTGATGAGTCTGGAAACTCTGTTCTTGTAAAATCTGCAAAGGGATATTTGTGAGTGGCTTGAGATCTATGGTGAAAAAGGAAATATCCTCACATAAAAACTACACTGAAGATTTCAGAGAAACTTCTTTGTGATATGTGCATTCATCTCACAGAGATGAACCACTCTTTTGATTGAGAAGTTTGGAAACAGTCTTTTCAGAGAATTTGCAAAGGGACATTTTGAGCGCTTTGATAGGTATGGTGAAAAGGGAAATATCTTCACATAAAAAGTGGACAGAAGCTTTCAGAAAACTTCTTTGCAATGTATGCATTCATCTCACAGAGTTGAACCTTTCTTTTTATTTAGCAGTTTGAAAAGAGTTCTTTTCTAGAATCTGCAGAGGGATATTTGTGAGCCCTTTATGGCCTAAGGTGAAATAGGAAATATCTTCACATAAAAACTAGACAGAGGCATTCTGAGAAACTTCTTCATGAAGTGTGCTTTCATTAAACAGAGTTGAACCTCTCTTTTGATTGAGGAGTTTGGAAACAGCCTTTTTGTAGAATATGCAAATGGATATTTGGAGTGCTTTGAGGCCTATGGTGAAAAAAGAAATATCTTCACCTGAAAACTAGAAAGAAGCATTCTGAGAAACTTCTTTGGGATGTATGCATTCATCTCACAGAGTTTAACCTTTCTTCTGATTGAGCAGCTTCAAAACAGTCCTTTTGTAAAATCAGCAAAGGGATATTTGTGAGCCCATTGAGGCCTATGGTGAAATAGGAAATATCTTCACATAAAAACTAGTCAGAAGATTTCTGAGAAACTTCTTTGTGATGTGTGCTTTCGTCTCACAGAGTTGAAAATTTCTTTTGATTGAGCAGTTTGGAAACAGTATTTTGTAGAATCTGCAAATTGATAATTGGAGCGCTTTGAGGCCTATCGTTAGAAGGGAAATATCTTCACATAAAAACTAGACAGAAGATTTCTGAGAAACTTCTTTGTGATGTGTGCATTGATCTCAGAGACTTGAACTTTTCTTTTGATGGAGCAGTTTGGAAACAGTCTTTTTACAGTATCAGCAGAAGGATATTTGTGAGTGGTTTAAGGCCTATGGTGAAAAAGGAAATATCTTCACATAAAAACTAGACAGAAGCTTTCTGAGAAACTTCTTTGTGATGTGCACATTCATCTCACAGTGTTGAAACTATTTCGTTTGAGCAGTTTAGAAACAGTCTTTTTCTGCATTCTGCAAAGGTATATTTCTGAGCCATTTGAGGTCTATGGTGAAAAAGAAATATCTTCACATTTAAACTAGACAGAAGCATTCTGAGGAACTTCTTTGTGATGTCTCCATTCATCTGACAGAGTTGAAGGTTTCTTTTAATTCAGCACTTTGGAAACCATATTTTTGTAGAACCTGCAAAGGGATATTTTTCAGACATTTGAAGCCTATAGTGAAATAGTAAATATCT
>NC_000015.10:17049334-17076577 GCF_000001405.40 Homo sapiens | reverse complement strand
CTTCACATGAAAACTAGACCAAAGCTTTCTGAGGA
Organism: Homo sapiens; assembly: GCF_000001405.40. Classification (NCBI taxonomy): domain Eukaryota; kingdom Metazoa; phylum Chordata; class Mammalia; order Primates; family Hominidae; genus Homo; species Homo sapiens. The sequence continues at coordinate 17,076,542 of NC_000015.10, read as the reverse complement.
ACTTCTTTGAGATGTGTGCTTTCATCTCACAGAGTTAAAACTCTCTTTTGATTGAGCAGTTTGGAAACACTCTTTTTGTGAAATCTGTAAATGGATATTAGGAGTGCTTTGAGGCCAATGGTGACAAAGGAAATATCTTCATGTAAAAACTAAACAGAAGTTTTCTGAGAAACTACTTTTTGATGTGTCCATTAATCTAACAGAGTTGAAACTTTCTTTTTATTTAACAGTTTGGATATAGTATTTTTGTAGAATCTGCCAAAAATATTTGTGAGCCCTTTATTGCCTATGGTGAAATAGGAATTTTCTTCACATATAAACTAGACAGAAGCATTCTGAGGAACTTCTTTGTGATGTGTGCATTCATCTCACATAGTTGAAACTTTCTTTGGATTGAGCAGTTTTGAAACAGTCCTTTTGTAGAATCTGCAAAGGGATATTTCTGAGCGCGTTGAGTACTATGGTGCAATGTGAAGTATCTTCACATAAAAACTAGACAGAAGCTTTCCAAGAAACTTCTTTGTGATGTGTGCTTTCATCTCACAGAATTAAAACTTTCTTTTGATTGAGGAGTTTGGAAACACTCTTTTTATAAAATCTGCAAATGGATATTTGGAGAGCTTTTGAGGCCCATGGTGGAAAACTAAATATCTTCACATAAAAACTAAACAGAAGTTTTCTGAGAAACTTCCTTGTGATGTGTGCATTCATCTCACAGAGTTGAAACTTTCTTTAGATTGAGCAGGTTGGAAAGAGGCTTTTTGATTGAGCAGTTTGGAAACAGTCTTTTTGTAAAACCTTCAAAGGGATATTTGTGAGCCCTTTATGGCCTCAGGTGAAATAGGAAGTATCTTCACATACATACTAGAGAGAAGCTGTTTGAGTAACATTTTTGTGATGTGTGCTTTCATGTCAGAGAGGTAAAAATTTGTTTTGATTGATCAGTTTGGAAACAGTCTGTTTGTAGAATCTGCAAATGGATGTTTCGATTGCTTTGAGGCCTATGTTGAGAAAGGTAATATCTTCACATAAAAACAAGACAGAAGATTTCTGAGAAACTCCTCTCTTATGTGTGCATTCATCTCACCGGTTTGAACCTTTCTTTTGATTGAGCAGTTTGGAAACAGTCTTTTTGTACAATCTACAAAGGGATATTTCTGAACGGTTTGATGCCTATGGTGAAAAAGAAATATCTTCACATAAAAACTAGACAGAAGCATTATGATAAACTAATTTATTATGTGTGCTTTCGTCTCACAGAGTTGAACCTTTCTTTTCATTTAGCAGTTCTAAAACTGTCTTTTTGTAGAGTCTGCAAAGGGATATTTTTGAGACCTTTGAGGCCTATGGTGATATAGGAAATATCTTTACAAAAAAAGTAGACAGAAGCATTATGAGAAACTTCTTCATGATGTGTGCTTTCTTCTCACAGATTTGAATCTTTCTTTTAATTGAACAGTTTGGAAACTCTCTTTTTGTAGAGTTTGCAATAGGATATTTGGATTGCTTTGAGGCCTATGGTGAAAAAGGAAATATTTTCACTTAAAAACTAAACAGAAGCTTTCTGAAAAACTTCTCTGTGATGGGAGTATTCATGTCACAGTGTTGAACCTTTGTTTTCATTGAGCAGTTTGGAAACCATCTTTTTGTACAATCTGCAAAGGGATATTTCTGAGCTGTTTGAGGCCTATGGTGAAAAACAAATATCTTAACACAAAAACTAGACAGAGACATTCTGAGAAACTTCTTATTCATGTGTGCATTCATCTCCCAGAGTTGAATCTTTCTTTCCATTGAAAAATTCAGAAACAGTCTTTTTATAGAATTTGGAAAAGGATATATGTGAGCCCACTGAGGCCCATGGTGAAATGGGAAATATCTTCACAGGAAAACTAGACAGAAGCATTCTGAGAAACTTCTTTGTGAGTTTGCATTCATCTCACAGAGTTGAAACTTTCTTTTGATTGAGCAGTTTGGAAAAACTCTTTTTGAAGTATCTGCAAATGGATATTTGGAGCACTTTGTGGCTTGTGGTGAAAAACTAAATATCTTCACATAAAATCTAGTGAGAAACTTTCTGAAGAACTTCTTTGTGATGTGTGCTTTCATCTCACAGAGTTGAAAATTTCTTTTGATTAAGCAGTTTGGAAACAGTATTTTGTAGAATCTGCAAATCGATAATTGGATTGCTTTGAGGCCTATCGTTAGAAGGGAAATATCTTCACATAAAAACTAGACAGAAGATTTCTGAGAAACTTCTTTGTGATGTGTGGTTTCATCTCACAGAGTTGAACTGTTCTTTTGATTGAGCAGTTAGGAAACAGTCTTTATCTACAATCTGCAAAGGCATATTTGGGAGCCGTTTAAGCCCTATGGTGAAAAAGGAAATATCTTCACATAAAAACTAGACAGAAGCATTCTGAGAAACTTCCTTGTGATGTGTGCTTTCATCTCACAGGTTTGAAAATTTCTTTTGATTGAGCAGTTTGGAAACAGTCTTTTTGTACATCTACAAAGGGATATTTCTGAACGGTTTGGTGCCTATGGTGAAAAAGGAATATCTTCACATAAAAACTAGACAGAAGCATTGTGAGAAACTTCTTTTTTATGTGTGCATTCGTCTCACAGAGTTGAACCTTTCTTTGCATGGAGCAGTTTGAAAACAGTCCTTTTGTAGAGTCTGCAAAGGGATATTTGTGAGCTCTTTGAGGCCTATGGTGAAATATGAAATATCTTCACATAAAAACCAGACAGAAGCATTATGAGGAACTTCTTTGTGATGTGTGGTTTCATCTCACAAAGATGAAGGTTTCCTTTGATTGAACAGTTTTTAAGCAGCCTTTTTGTAGTATCTGCAGAGGGATATTTGGGAGCCGTTTAAGGCCTATGGTGAAAAAGGAAATATATTCACATAAAAACTAGACAGAAGCATTCTGAGAAACTTCTTTATGATGTGCACATTCATCTCACAAAGTTGAACCTTTTTTTGTGATTGAGTCGTTTTGGAAACAGTCTTTTTGTGGAATCTGCAAATGGGTATTTGGAGCACTTTGAGGCCTATTGTGAAGAAGGAATTATCTTCACATAAAAACTAGACAGAAACTTTCTGAGAAACTTCTTTGTGATGTTTGTATTCATCTCACAGAGTTGAAACTTTCCTTGCATTTGACAGTTTGGAAACAGTCTTTTTGTACAATATGCAAAGGGATATTTCTGAACGGTTTGAGGCCTATGGTGAAAAATAAATATGTCAGATAAAAACTAGACAGAAGCATTCTGAGAAACTTCTTTTTCATGTGTGCATTTATCTCACAGTGTTGAACCTTTCTTTTCATGTAGCTGTTTGGAAATAGACTTTTTGTAGAATCTGCAAATGGATATTTGGAGCACTTTGATGCCTGTTGTGAAAAAGGAAATATCTTCACACAAAACTAGACAGAAGCATTCTGAGAAACTTCTTTGTGATGTGTGCATTCATTTCACAGAGATGAAGGTTTCCTTTGATTGAACAGTTTTCCAGCAGTCTTTTTGTAGTATCTGCAGAGGGATATTTGGGAGCCGTTTAAGACCTATGGTGAAAAAGGAAATATCTTCACATAAAAACTAGACAGAAGCTTTCTGAGAAACTTCTTTATGATATGCGCATTCATCTCACAGAGTTGAACCTGTCTTTTGATTGAGCAATTTGGAAACAGTCTTTTTGTACAATCTGCAAAGGGATATTTCTTAGCCATTTGAGGCCTATGGTGAAAAAGACATATCTTCACATAAAAACTAGGCAGAAGCTTTCTGAGAAACTTCCTTGTGATGTGTCCATTCATCTCATATAGTTGAACCTTTGTTTTGGATTGAGCTGTTTGGAAACTGTCTTTTTGTAGAGTCTGCAAAGGGATATTTGTGAGACCTTTATGACCTATGGTGAAACAGGAAATATCTTCACATAAAAACTAGACAAACATTCTGAGAAACTTATTTGTGATGTGTGCTTTCATCTCACAGAGTTGAAACTTTCTTTTGATTGAGCAGTTTGGAAAGAGGCCTTTTGTAGTATCTGAAAAGAGATATTTTTGAGCCCATTGAGGCCTATGGTGAAAGAGGAAATATCTTCACATATAAGCTAGAAAAAAACTTTCTGAGAAAATTCTTTGTGATATGTGTTTTCATCTCACAGAGTAGAATCTTTCTTTTCATTGAGCATTCTGGAAACAGTCATTTTGTAACATCTGCATAGGGATATTTCTGAGCGGTTTGAGGTCTATGGTGACAAAGAAATATCTTCACATATAAACTAGACAGAAGCATTCTGATATACTACTTTTTTAGGTGTGAATTCATCTCACAGAGTTGAAACTTACTTTTCATTGAGCAGTTCTGTAACAGTCTTTTTGTAGAATCTGCAAAAGGATATTTGTGAGCCCTTTGAGGCCTATGGTGTAACAGGAAATACCTTCACTTAAAAACTAGATGGAAGCATTCTGAGTAACTTCTTTGTGATTTGTGCTTTCATCTCACAGAGTTGAAACTTTCTTTTGATTGAGCAGTTTGGAAAAACTCTTTTTGTACAATCTGCAAAAGATATTTGGTGCACTTTGTGGACAATGGTGAAAAAGGAAATATCTTCACATAAAAACTAGAAAGAAACTTTCTGAGAAACTTCTTTGTGATGTGTACTTTCTTTTTATTTTATTTTATTTTATTATTATTATACTTTAAGTTTTAGGGTACATGTGCACAATGTGCAAGTTAGTTACATATGTATACATGTGCCAGTCTGGTGTCCTGCACCCATTAACTCATCATTTAGCATTAGGTATATCTCTAATGCTATCCCTCTCCTCTCCCCCCACCCCACAACAGTCCCCAGAGTGTGATGTTCCCCTTACTGTGTCCATGAGTTCTCATTGTTCAAATCACACCTATGAGTGAGAACATGTGGTGTTTGGTTTTTTGTCCTTGTGATAGATTACTGAGAATGATGATTTCCAATTTCATCCATGTCCCTACAAAGGACATGAACTCATCATTTTTTATGGCTCCATAGTATTCCATAGTGTATATGTGTCACATTTTCTTAGTCCAGTCTATCATTGTTGGACATTTGGGTTGGTTCCAAGTCTTTGCTATTGTGAATAGTGCCACAATAAACATACAAGTGCATGTGTCTTTATAGCAGCATGAAACCAACGAGAACAAAGACACAACATACCAGAATCTCTGGGACACATTCAAAGCAGTGTTCAGAGGGAAATTGATAGCATTAAATGCCCACAAGAGAAAGCAGGAAAGATCCAAAATTGACACCCTAACATCACAATTACAAGAACTAGAAAAGCAAGAGCAAACACATTGAAAAGCTAGCAGAAGGCAAGAAATAACTAAAATCAGAGCAGAACTGAAAGAAATAGATACACAAAAAAACCTTCAAAAAATTAATGAATCCAGGAGCTGGTTTTTTGAAAGGATCAACAAAATTGATAGACCGCTAGCAAGACTAATAAAGAGGAAAAAAGAGAAGAATCAAATAGATGCAATAAAAAATGATTAGGGGGATATGACCACCGATCCAACAGAAATTCAAACTACCATCAGAGAATACTACAAACACCTCTATGCAAATAATCTAGAAAATCTAGAAGAAATGGATAAATTCTTCGACATATACACCCTCTCAAGACTAAACCAGGAAGAAGTTGAATTTCTGAATAGACCAATAACAGGCTCTGAAATTGTGGCAATAATCAATAGCTTACCAACAAAAAAGAGTCCAGGATCAAATGGATTCACAGCCGAATTCTACCAGAGATACAAGGATGAACTGGTACCATTCCTTCTGAAACTATTCCAATCAATAGAAAAAGAGCGAATCCTCCCTAACTCATTTTATGAAGCCAGCACCATCCTGATACCAAAGCCGGGCAGAGACACAACCAAAAAAGAGAATTTTAGACCAATATCCTTGATGAACATTGATGCAAAAATCCTCAATAAAATAATGGCAAACTGAATCCAGCAGCACATCAAAAAGCTTATCCAACATGATCAAGTGGGCTTCGTCCCTGGGATGCAAGGCTTGTTCAATATACGCAAATCAATAAATGTAATCCAGCATATAAAGAGAACCAAAGACAAAAACCACACGATTATCTCAATAGATGCAGAAAAGGCCTTTACAAAATTCAACTACCCTTCATGCTAAAAACTCTCAATAAATTAGGTATTGATAGGACGTATCTCAAAATAATAAGAGCTATCTGTGAAACTTCTTTGTGATGTGTGCATTCATCTCACAGAGTTGAATCTTTCTTTTGATTGGGCAGTTTGGAAACAGTCTTTTTGTAGAATCTGCACAGTGATATGTTTCAGTGGTTTGAATCCAATGGTGAAAAAGGAAATATTGAAAAATAAAATGTAGACAGCAGCTTTCTGAAGAACTTCTTTGTGATGTGTGCATTCACCTCACAGGGTTGAAACTTCCTTTGATTGACCAGTTTGGAAACAGTCTTTTCATAGATCCTGCAAAGTGATATTTGTGAATGCTTTGAGGCTTATGGTGAAAAAGGAAATATCTTCACATGAAAACTAGACTCACGTTTTCTGGGAAACTTCTTTGTGATGAGTTTATGCATCTCAAAGACTTGAATCTTTCTTTTGATTGAGCAGATTGGAAACAGTCTTTTTGGAGAATCTGCAAAGGGATGTTTTTGAGTGGTTTGAGGCATGCGATGAAAAACGAAATATCTTCATATAAAAACTAGACAGAAGCATTCTGAGAAACCACTTTGTGATGCATGCATTCATCTCACAGAGTTGAATTTTCTTTCAATGAGCAGATTGGAAACTGTCTTTTTGTAGAACATGCAAAGGGATATTTGTGAGCTTTCTGAGGCCTACTGTGAAAAAGGAAATATCCCAAATAAAATCTAGACAGAAGCCTTCTGAAAAACTTCGTTGTGATGTGTGCATTCATCACACAGAATTGAACCTTTCTTTTGATTGAGCAGTTTGGAAACAGTCTTTTCATAGAATCTGCAAAGGAAAATTTGGGAACGCTTTGAGGCTTATGGTGAAAAAGAAGTATCTTCACATAAAAACTAGACAGAAACGTTCTGAGAAACTCACACTGCTGAACTTTCATTTGATTGAGCAGTTTGGAAATAGTCCTTTTGTAGAATCTGCAAAGGGTTATTCATGAGCGGTTTGAGGCCTATGGTGAAAAAGGGAGTATCGACAAAAACTAGACAGAAACTTTCTGAGAAACTTCTCTGTGATGTGTGCATTCATCTCACAGAGTAGAAGCTTTCTTTGATTGAGCAGTTTGGAAACAGTCTTTTTGTAGAATCTGCAAAGGGTTATATATAGGCGGTTTCAGGTCTATGGTGAAAATGGAAATATCTTCACATAAAAACTAGACAGAAGCTTTCTGAGAAAATTCTTTGAGATGTGCACATTCATCTCACAGATTTGAAGTGTTCGTTTCCTTGACCAGTTTGGATAGAGTCTTTTTGTAGAATCTGCTTTGCGATATTTGTGAGCCCTTTGAAGCCTATGGTGAAAAAAGAAATATCTTCACACAAAAACGAGACAGAAGCTTTCTGAGAAACTTCATTGTGATGTGTACATTCATCCCAAAATTTGAACCTGTCTTTGGATTGAGCAGTTTTGAAACAGTCCTTTGTAGAATGTACAAAGGGATATTTGGGATCCCTTTTTGGTCTATGGTGAAAAAGGTAATGTCTTCAGATAAAAACTAGACAGAAGCATTCTGAGAAACTTATTTTTGATGTGTGCATTCTTCTCACAGAGTTAAACCTTTCTTTAGATAGAGCAGGTTAGAAAATGTCTTTTTGCAGAATCTGCAAAGTGATAATTTGAATGCTTTGAGACTTATGGTGAAAAAGGAAATATCTTCACATAAAAACTGGATGGAAGCTTTCTGAGAAACTTCTTTGTGATGTGTGCATTCATCTCAAAGAGTTGAAGCTTTGTTTCAGTTGAGCAGTTTGGTAACAGTCTTTTTGTAAAATCTGTAAAGGGACATTTGTGAGCACTTTGAGGCCTATATTGAAAAAGGAAACATCTTCAAATAAAAACTAGACAGAAGCTTTCTGAGAAACTTCTTTGTGACGTGTGCAATCACCTCACAGAATTGAAGCTTTCTTTTGATTGAGTAGTTTGTAAACAGTCTTTTTGTAGAATCTGCAAAGGGTTATTCATGAGCAGTTTGAGGCCTATAGTGAAAAAGGGAGTATCAACAAATAGAAACTAGACAGAAACTTTTTGAGAAACTTCTGTGTGATGTGTGCATTCATCTCGCAGAGTGGAAGCTTTCTTTGATTGAGCAGTTTGGAAACAGTCTTTTTGTAGAATCTGCAAAGGGATATATGTAGGCAGTTTGAGGTCTATGGTGAAAACGGAAATATCTTCACATAAAAACTAACTGCTCAATGGGAAGAAATTTTTACTTCTCTTTGATAAATGCACATGTCACAAAGGAGTTACTCAGAAAACTTCTTTCTACTTTTAATGTGAAGATATTTCCTTTTTCACCATATGCCTCAATGCGCTCGCAGATATCCCTTTGCAGATTCTACAAAAAGACTGTTTCCAAACTGCACAATAAACAGAATGGTTCAACCCTGTGAGACGAACGTGCACATCACAAAGAAGTTTCTCAGAAAATTTCCTTCTCAGTTTTATGTGAAGATATTTCCTTGTTGAACATAGGCCTCAATGCACTCCCAAATATACCTTTGCAGAATCTACAAAAAGACTGTTTCCAAAGTGTTCAATCAAAAGAAAGTTTCAACTCTGTTAGATGAATGCACACATCAGAAAGTAGTTTCTCAGCAAGCTTCTCACTAGTTTTTATGTGAAGATAGTTCCCTTTTCAAGATGGGTCTCAAAGCACTCAAAAATGTACCTTGGCAGACTCTAGAATAACAGAGTTTACAAACTGCTCAATGAAAAGAAATGTTTACTTCTGTGAGATGAATACACATATCTTAAAGCAGCTTCTCAGAATGCTTCTTTCTAGGTTTTATGTGAAGATATTTCCTTTTCCACCATAGGCCTCAACTTGCTCCTAAATATCCCTTTTCAGATTCTACAAAAAGACTGTTTCCAAACTGCTCAATCAAAACAAATGTTAAACTCTATGAGATAAATGCACACATCACAAAATTTTCTCAGAAAACTTTGTCTAGTTTTTATGTGAAGATATTTCCTTATTCACCATAGGCCTCAAAGCACTACAGATATCCCTCTGCAGATTCTACAAAAAGACTGTTTGCAAACTGCTCAATCCAAAGAATGTTTCAACTCTGTGTGATGAATGCACACTTACAAAGAAGTTTCTCAGAAACTTTCTTTATGGTTTTTCTGTGAAGATATTTCCTTTTTCAACATAGGCCTCAAAGCCCTCACAAATATCCCTTTGCAGATTCTACCAAAAAACTGTTTCCAAACCGCTCATTAAAAAGAGTTATTGAACACTGTCAGATGAATGCACACAGCTCAAAGAAGTTTCTCAGAATCCTTCAGTCTAGTTTTTATGTGAATATATTTCCTTTTTCACGATAGGCCTCAAAGTGCTCCAAATATCCATTTGCAGAGTCTACAAAAAGACTGTTTCCAAATGGCTCAATCAAAACAAAGGTTCAACTCTGTGTGATGAATGCACACATCATGAAGCAGTTTCTCAGAATACTTCTTTCTAGTTTTTCACCATAGGCCTCAAAGGGCTCACAAATATCCCTTTACAGATTCTACAAAAATACTTCTTCCAAATTGCTCAATCAAAAGAAAGGTTCAACTCTGTGAGATGTATGCACACCACAAAGAGATTTCTCAGAAAGCTTCTCTCTAGTTTTTATGTGAAGATATTTCCTTTTTCACCATAAGCCTCAAAGCATTCACAAATATCCCTTTGCAGATTCTATGAAAAGACTCTTTACACATTGCTCAATCAAAAGAATGTTTCAACTCTGTGAGGTGAATTCTCACATCACCAGAATGTTTCTCAGAAAGCTTCTGTGTAGTTTTCATGTGAAGATATTTCCTTTTTCACCATACACCTCAAAGGGCTCACAAATATCCCTTTGCAGATCTTACAAGAAAAGAGTTTCCAATCTTCTCAATGAAAAGAAACAGACACATCTGGGAGATGAATGCACATATCTCAAAGCAGTTTCTGAGAAACATTCTGTCTAGTTTTTATGTGAAGGTATCTCCTTTTCCACCACAGGATGCAAAGTGCTCAAAATTGTCCCTTTGCAGATTCTACAAAAAGATTGTTTCCACACTGCTCATTCAAAGAAAGATTCAACTCTGTGAGATGAATGCACACGTCAAAAAGTGGTTTCTCAGAAAGCTTCTATTAAGTTTTTATGTGAATGTTTCCTTTTTCCCCATGAGCCTCAAGGTGCTCACAAGTATCCACTTGAAGAATATTTAAAAAGACTGTTCCCAAACTGCTCAATCAAAAGAAAGTTTGAACTGTGTGAGATGAATGCACACATCACAAAGAAGTTTATCAGAAACCTTCTTTATAGCTTCTCTGTGAAGATATTTCCTTTTTCACCATAGGCCTCAAAGCCCTCACAAATATCTCTTTGCAGATTCTACAAAAAGATTGTTCCAAACTACTCAATATAAAGAATTATTGAACTTTGTGAGATGAATGCACACATCTCAAAGAAGCTTCTCAGAAAGTTTCAGTCTGGTTTTTATGTGAATCTATTTCATTTTTCACCATAGGCCTCAAAGTGCTCAAATTTCCATTTGCAGAGTCTACAAAAAGACTGTTTCCAAACGGCTCAATGAAAAGAAAGTTTCTACTCTGTGAGATGAATGCACACATCACTAAGAAGTTTTGCAGGAGGCTTCTGTCTAATTTTTATATGAAGTCATTTCCTTTTTCACCATAGGCCTCCATCTGCTCACAAATATCCCTTAGCAGATTCTACAAGAACAGAAATTCCAGACTGATCAAACAAAACAAACGTTTTTGTCTGTGAGATGAATACACACATCATAAAACTTTTTCTCAGAAACTTTCTTTATACTTTTTATGTGATGATGTTTCTTTTTTCTCCCTAGGACTCAAAGCACTCAAAAATATCCCTTTGCAGATTCTACAAAAAGATTGTTTCCAAAGTACTCAATCAAAAGAATAGTTCAACTCTGTAAGATGAATGCATACATCACAAAAAAGTTTCTCAGAAACCTTCTTTATAGTTTTTATGTGAAGTATTTCCTTTTTCAACTCAGGCATCAAATTGCTCAGCAATATCCCTTTGTAGATTCTGCAAAAAGACTGCTTCCCAACTTCTCAATCAAATAAATGGTTGAACTCTGTGAGATGGATGCACACATCCCAAAGAGGTTTCTCAGATATCTTCTGTCCATTTTTTATGTGAAGATATTTCCTTTTTCACCATAGCACTCCAAGTCGTGAAAAATATCCCTTGCAGATTCTACAAAAAGACTGTTTCCAGACTGCTCAATCAAAAGAATGGTTCAAATCTGTGAGATGATTGCACACATCACAAAGAAGCCACTAAGAAAACTTCTGTCTAGTTTTTATGTGAAGATATTTCCTTTTTCATCATAGGCCTCAAAGCACTCACAAATATCCCTTTGCAGATTCTACAAGAACAGTTTCCAGACTGATCATAGAAAATAAACGTTTACCTCTCTGAGATCAATGCACACACCACAAAGCTGTTTCTAAGAAACCTTCTTTATACCTTTTATATAAATATATTTCCTTTTTCACAATTGGCCTCAAAGCTCTCATAAATATCCCTTTGCAGATTCCACAAACAGATGGTTTCCATACTGCTCAATCAAAAGTAAGTTTCAACTTTGTGAGATGAGTGCCCACATCACAAAGAGGTTTCTCAGAAAACCTCTCTCTAATTTTTATGTGAAGATATTTCCTTTTTCACCATAGGCCTCAAAGTACTCACAAATATCCCTTTGCAGAATCTACAAGAACAGTTTCCAGACAGATCAGAGAAAATAAACGTTTACCTCTGTGAGATGAATGCATACATCACAAAGATGTTTCTGAGAAACCTTGTTTATACTTTTTATGTGAATACATTTCCTTTTTCACCATAGGCCTCAAAGCACTCATAAATATCCCTTTGCAGATTCTACAAAAAGACTGTTTCCAAACTGTTCAATCAAAAGAATGGTTGAACTCTACGAGATGAATGCACACATCACAAAGAAGTTTCTCAGAAAGCTTCTGTCTAGTTTTTATGTGAAGATATTTCCTATTTCATCATAGGCCTCATACCACTCAAAAATATGACTTTACAGATTCTACAAAAATACTGTTTCCAAATTTCTCAATCCAAAGAAAGTTTCAAATCTGTGAGATGAATGCACACATCACAAGGAGGTTTCTCAGAAAGCTTCTCTCTAGTTTTCATGTGAAAATATTTCATTTTCACCATAGGCTTCAAAGCGTCACAAATATCCCTTTGCAGATTCTACCAAAATATTGTTTACAAACTGCCCAATCAGAAGAATGTTTCAACTCTGTGAGATGAATTCTCGCATCTCCAAGATGTTTCACAGAAATCTTCTGTCTAGTTTTTATGTGAAGATAATTCCTTTTTCACCATAGGCCTCAAAATGCTGACAAATATCACTTTGCAGATTTTACAAGAACAGAATTTCCAATCTGTTCAATGAAAAGAAATGGTTACCTCTGTGAGATGAAAACACACATCACAAGTCAGTTTCTCAGAAACATTCTGTCTAGTTTTTATGTAAAAATAATTCCTTTTCCAACATAGGACACAAAACACTAACTAATAACCCTTTGGAAATTCTACCAAATACTGCTTCCAAAATGCTCATCAAAAGAAAGGCTCACCTCTGTGGGATGAATGCACATATCAAAAAGATGATTCTCAGAAAGCTTCTAGTTTTTATGTGAAAGTGTTTCCTTTTTCACCATGGGCCTCAAAGTGCTCAAAAATATCCCTTTGTAGATCCTAAAAAAGGACTGTTTCCAAACCACTGAGTCAAAGGAATGGTTCAACTCTGTGAGATGAATGCACACATCATAAAGAAGTTTCTCACAAACCTTCTTTATAGTTTTTATGTGAAGATATTTCCTTTTAACCATAGACCTCAAAGTGCTCACAAATATCCCTTTGCAGATTCTACAAAAAGATGGTTTCCCAACTGCTCAATCAAAAGAATTGTTGAAATCTGTGAGATGAATACATACATCAGAAAGCAGTTTCTCAGAAATCTTTAGTATAGTTTTTATGTGAAGATACTTTCTCTTTCACCATAGGCCTCAAAGTGCTCAGAAATTTCCCTTTACAGATTCCACAAAAAGATGTTTCCAAACTGCTTAATCAAAAGAAAGTTTCAATTCTGTGAGATGAATGCACACATCACCAAGAAATTTCTCAGTAGGCGATACTTTCTCTTTCACCATAGGCCTCAAAGTGATCAGAAATATCCTTTTACAGATTCCACAAAAAGACGTTTCTAAACTGCTTAATCAAAAGAAAGTTACAATTCTGTGAGATGAATGCACACATCACCAAGAAGTTTCTCAGTAGGCCTCTGTCTAATTTTTATGTGAAGACAATATCTTTTTCACCATAGGGCCCTAGGCACTCAAAAATGTCCCTTAGCAGATCCTACAAGAACAGAGTTTCCCAACTGATCAAAGAAAAGAATTGTTTACCTCTGCGAGATGAATGCAGACATCAAAAAACAGTTTCTCAGAAACCTTCTTTATGGTTTTCTGTGAAGATACTTCTTTTCCTGCATAGCCCTCAAAGTGCTCACAAATATCCGTTTGCAGATTCTTCAAAAAGACTGTTTCCAAACGGCTGAATTAAAAGAGACGATCAAATCTGTGAGATGAATGCACATATCACAAAGAAGTATCTCAGAAACTTCCTTTATACTTTGAATGTGAAGATATTTCCTTTATCACAATAGGCCTCAATGTGCTCAAAAATACCGCTTTTGAGATTGTACAAGAACAGAGTTTCCAGACTGATTACAGAAAAGAAACACTTACCTCTGTGAGATGAATGCACACATCACAAGGTTGTTTTTAGAAAACCTGCTTTATAGTTCTTATGTGAAGATATGTCCTTTTCCACCATAGGATTCAAAGCGCTCCAAATGTCCAATGGCAGACTCTACAAAAAGAGTGTTTCCAAACTGCTCAACAAAAAGAAAGTCCAACTCTGTGAGATGAATGCACACAACGCAAAGAAGTTTCTCAGAATGCTTCTGTCTAGTTTTCATGTGAAGATATTTCCTTTTCCACCATAGGCATCAAAGCATTCTAAATATCCACTTGCAGATTCTACAAAAACAGTGTTTCAAAACTGCTCAACCAAAAGAAAGGTTCAACTCTGTGAGCTGAAAGCACACATCACAAAGAAGTTTCTCAAAATGATTCCTTGTAGGTTTTATGTGAAGATATTTCCTTTTCCACAAGAGGCCACAAAGCAATCCAAATATCCAATTGCAGATTCTATAAAAAGTGTGTTTCAGAACTGCTCAATCAAAATAAAGGTTCAACTCTGTGAGTTGAAAACACACATCACAAAGAAGTTTCTCAGAATGCTTCTGACTACTTTTATGGGAAGATATATTCTTTTCCACTGTATGCCTCAAAGTGATCCAAATATCCACTTGCAGATTCTACAAAAAGTGTTTCAAAACTGCTCAATCAAAAGAATGGTTCAACTCTGTGAGATGAATGCACACATCCAAAGAAGTTTCTCCGAATGCTTCTATCTAGTTTTTATGTGCAGATATTTCCTTTTCCACTATAGGCCTCAAAGCTGTCCAAATACAAATTTGAAGATGGTACGAAAAGAATGTATCCAAACTGCTCAATAAAAAGACATGTTCAACTCTGTGAGTTGAATGCACACGTCACAAAAAAGTTTCTCAGAATGCTTCTGTCTAGTTTTTATGTGAAGATATTTCCTTTTCCACCATAGGCCTGAAAGCGCTCTAAATATCCAACTGCTGATTCTACAAAAAGAGTGTTTCAAAACTGCTCAATCAAAAGAAATGTTCAACTCTGTGAGTTGAATGTGCACATCACAAATAAGTATCTTAGAATGATTCTGTCTAGTTCTTATGTGAAGATATTTTCTTTTCTATCATGGCCTCAAAGTGCTCCACATATCCACTTGCAGATTCTGCAAAAAGAGTGTTTCAAAACTGCTCAATCAAAAGAAAGGTTCAACTCTGTGAGATGAATGCACACATCATGAAGAAGTTTCTCAGAATGCTTCTGTCTAGTTTTTATGTGAAGATATTTCCTTTTCCACCAGAGGCCACACAGCGCTCCAAATATCCACTTGCAGATTCTACAAAAAGAGTGTTTCAGAACTGCTCAATCAAAGGAAAGGTTCAACTCTGTGAAATGAAGGCACACATCAAAGGAAATTTCTCAGAAAGCTTCTGTCTAGTTTATGTGAAGATATTACCTTTTCCAACAGAGGCCGCAAAGCGTTCAAAATATCCACTTGCAGATTCTAAAAAAGATTGTTTCAAAACTGCTTAATCAAAAGAAAAGTTCCACTCTGTGAGTTGAACACACACAGCACAAAGAACTTTGTCAGAATACTTCTCTGTAGTTTTTATGTGAAGATATTTGCTTTTCCACCATAAGTATCAAAGCGCTCCAAATATCCACTTGCACACTCTATAAAGAGTGTTTCAAAACTGCTCAATCAAAAGAAAGGTGCAGCTCTGTGAGATGAATGCACACGTCACAAAGAATTTTCTCAGTATGCTTCTGTCTAGTTTTTATGTGAAGACATTTCCTTTTCCACAATAGGCCTCAAAGTGCTCCAAATACCCACTTGCAGATTCTACACAAGGAGTGTTTCAAAACTGCTCAGTGAAAAGAATGGATCAAGACAGTGATATGAATGCACACACCACAAAGAAGTTTCTCAGAATGCTTCTGTCTAGTTTTTAGTTGAAGATATTTCCTTTTACACCATAGACCTCAAACCGCTCGAAGTATCCCTTTGCAGATACTACAAAAAGAGTGATTCAAAACTGCTCAATCAAAAGAAAGGTTGAACTCTGTGAGATGAATGTACACATGAAGAAAAAGTTTCTCAGAATGCTTCTGACAAATATTTATGTGAAGATATTTCCTTTTCCACTATAGACCGCAAAGTGCTCCAAATATCCACTTGCAGATTCTACAAAAAGAGTGTTTCAAAACTGCTCAATCAAAAGAAAGCTTCAACTCTGTGAGATGAATGCACACATCACAAAGAAATTTCTCAGAATGCTTCTGTCTAGTTTTTGTGTGAAGATATTGCCTTTTCCACTTAAGGCCACATAGCACCCAAAAATATCCAATTGTAGGTTCTACAAAAGGAGTCTTTCAAAACTGCTCTATCAAAAGAAGGGTTCCATTCTGTGAGTTGAAGGCACGCATCACAAAGAAGTTTCTCAGAATGCTTCTGTCTACTATTTATGTGAAGATATTTCCTTTTCCACTATAGGCCTCAAAGCGCTCCAAATATCCATTGGCAGATTTTACAAAAAGAGTGTTTCAAAACTGCTCAATCAAAAGAAAGGTTGAACACTGTGAGTTGAATGCACACATCACAAAGAAGTTTCTCAGAATGCTTCTCTGTAGTTTTTATGTGAAAATATTTCCTTTTCCACCATAGACCTTAATGCGCTCCAAATATCCATTTGCAGATTCTACAAAAAGAGACATTCAAAACTGCTCAATCAAAAGAAAGGTTCAACTCTGTGAGTTGAATGCACACATCACAAAGAACTTTCTCAGAATGGTTCTCTCTAGTTTTTATGTGAAGATATTTCCTTCTCCACTATAGTCCACAAAGTGCTCCAAATAACCACTTGCAGAGTCTACAAAAACAGTATTTCAAAACTGCTCAATCAAAAGAATGGTTCAACTCTGTGAGATGAATGCACACATCACAAAGAAGTACCACAGAATGCTTCTGTCTAATTTTATTGTGAAAATATTTCATTTTCCACCATAGACCTCAAAGCACTACAAATATCCACTTGCAGACTGTACAAAAAGAGTGTTTCAAAACTGGTCAATAAAAAGAAAATTTCAACTCTGTGAGATGAATGCACATATCACAAAGATGTTTCTCAGAATGCTTCTGTCTAGTTTATGTGAAGATATTTCCTTTTCCAAGAGAGGCTGCAAAGCACTCAAAATATCCACTTGCAGATTCTAAAAAGCATTTCAAAACTGCTTAATCAAAAGAAAGGTTCAACTCTGTGAGTTGAACACACACAGCATAAAGAACTTTGTCAGAATACTTCTCTGTAGATTTTATGTGAAGATATTTCCTTTTCCACCGTAAGCCTCAAAGAGCTCCATATATGCACTTGCACACTCTACAAAAAGAGCGTTTCAAAACTGTTCAATCAAAAGAAAGGTTGAACTCTGTGAGATGAATGCACACATCACAAAGAAGTTTCTCAGAATGCTTCTCCGTACTTTTTATGTGAAGATATATCCTTTTCCACAATAGACCACAAAGTGCTCCAAATATTCACTTGCAGATCCTAAAAAAAGTGTGTTTCAAAACTGCTCAATCAAAAGAAAGGTTCAACTTTGTGTGTTGAATGCACACATCACAAACAAATTTCTCAGAATGCTTCTGTGTAGTTTTCATGTGAAGATATTTCCTTTTCCACCATACGCCTCAAAGCGCTCCAAGTATCTAATTGGAGATTCCACAAAAAGAGTGTTTCAAAACTACTCAATCAAAAGGAAGCTTCATCTCTGTGAGATGAATGCACACATCACAAAGAAGTTTCTCAGAATGCTGTTGTCTAGTTTTTATGTGAAGATATTGCCTTTTCCACTTAAGGCCACATAGCGCTCCAAATATCCTTTGCAGATTCTACAAAAGGAGTCTTTCAAAACTGCTCAAACAAAAGGATGCCACTCTTTGAGTTGAATGCACACATCACAAAGAAGTTTCTCAGAATGCTTCTGTGTACTATTTATGTGAAAATATTTCCTTTTCTGCCATAGGCCTCAAAGCGTTCCAAAGATCCACTGGCAGATTTTACAAAAAGAGTGTTTCGAAACTGCTGAATCAAAAGAAAGGTTGAACTCTGTGGGTTGAATGCACACATCACAAAGAAGTTTCTCAGAATGCTTCTGTCTAATTTTTATGTTTAAATAATTCATTTTCCACCATAGGTCTCAATGTGCTCCAAATATCCACTTGCAGATTCTACAAAAAAGTGTTTCCAAACTGCTCAGCCAAAAGAACAGTTCAACTCTGTGAGACGAAACCACATATCACAAAGAAGTTTCTCAGAAATTTCTGTCTAGTTTTTATGTGAGAATATTTCCTATTTCATCCATAGGCATCAATGGGCTGAGAAATATCCCTTCACAGATTCTACAAAAGGACTGTTTCCAAACTGCTCAATCCAAAGACAGGTTCAACTCTTTGTGATGAATGCACACAACACAACGAAGTTTCTCAAAATGTTTCTGTCTAGTTTTTATATGAAGATATTTCGTTTTCCACTATAGGCTGTAAAGAGCTCCAAATTTCCACTTGCGGATTCTACAAAAAGACTGTTTCCAAACTACTCAATCAAAACCAATGTTCAACTTTTTGAGTTGAATGCACCCACCACAAAGAAGTTTCTCAGAATGCTTCTGTCTAGTTTTTATGTGAAGATATTTCCTTTTTCACCATAGGCCTCAAAGAGCTCCAAATATCCATTTGCAGATTCTTCAAAAAGAGTGTTTCCAAACTGCTCAATCAAAGGAAAGTTACAACTCTGTGAGATGAAAGAACACATCACAAAGAAGTTTCTCAGAAACCTTCTGTCTTGTTTTTATGTGAAGATATTTTCTGTTTCACCATAGTCCATAAAGGGCTCAAAAATAGCCCTTTGCAGATTCTACACAAAGACTGTTTCCAAACTGCTGAGCCAAAAGAAAGGTTCAACTCTGTGAGATGAAAGCACATATCTCAAAGAAATTTCTCAGAAAGCTTCTGTCTGGTTTTTATGAGAAGATGTTTCCTATTTCATCATAGGCCTCAATGGGCTGAGAAATATCCCTTTGCAGATTCTACAAAAGGACTGTTTCCAAACTGCTCAATCCAAAGAAAGTTTCACCTCTTTGAGTTGAATGCGCACATCACAAAGGAGTTTCTCAGAATGCTTCTGCCTAGTTTCTATGTGAAGATATTTCCTTTTTCACCATAGACCTTAAACTGCTCTCAGAAATCCCTCTGCAGATACTCCAAAAAGCTGTCTCCAAACTGCTCCATCAAAAGTAAGGTTCAACTCTGTGAGATGAAAGGATACATCTCAAAGAAGTTTCTCAGAATACTTCTGTCTAGTTTTCATGTGAAGATATTTCTTTTTCGATATCGGCCTCCAACTTCTCAGAAATATCCCTTTCCAGATTGTACAAAAAGACTGTTTCCGAATGGCTCAATGAAAAGAAACTTTCAACTCTGTAAGATGTATGCACGCATCAAAAAGAAGCTTCTCAGAAAGCTTCTGTTTATTTTTCATGTTAAGATATTTCCTTTTTCACCATAGGCCTCAAAGCACTCCAAATATCCATTTGCAGATTCTGCAAAAAGACTGTTTCCAAACTGTTCAATCAAAAGAAAGTTTCAAATCTGTGACATGAAAGCACACATCACTAAGAAGTTTATCAGAAAGCTTCAGTCTAGTCTTTATGTGAAGATATGTCCTTTTTCACCATATGTATCAATGGGAACAGAAATATCCCTTTGCAGATCCTACAAAAAGACTGTTTCCAAACTGCTCAACCAAAAGAATGGTTCAACTCTGTAAGATGAAAGCACATATCACAAAGAAGTTTCTCAGAAATCCTCTGTCTAGTTTTTATATGAAGATATTTCCTACTTCATCCATAGGCCTCAATGGGCTCAGAAATATCCTTTCACAGATTCTACAAAACGACAATTTCCAAACTGCTCAATCCAAAGACAGGTTCAACTCTTTGAGATGAATGCACAGAACATAAAGAAGTTTCTCAGAATGCTTCTGCCTAGTTTTTATGTGAAGATATTTCCTTTTTCACCACAGGCCTTAAACTGCTCTCATATATCCCTCTGAAGATACTACAAAAAGACTGTTTACAGACTGCTTCATCAAAAGAAAAGTTCAACTCTGTGAGATGAATGGATACGTCACAAAAAATTTTCTCAGAATACTTCTGTCTACATTTTATCTGAAGATATTTCTTTTTCACCATAGGCCTCCAGCTTCACAGAAATATTCCTTTGCAGACTGTACAAAAAGACTGTTTCCAAACTGCTCAATGAAAAGAAAGCTTCACCTCTGTGAGATGTATGTATTCATCAAAAAGAAGTTTCTCAGATAGCTTCTGTTTAGATTTCATGTGAAGATATGTCCTTTTTCACCATAGGCCTCAAAGTGCTCAAAATATCCTTTGCAGATTCTACAAAAAGACGTCTCCAAAGTGCTCAATCAAAAGAAAGGTTCAAATCTGTGAGATGAAAGCACACATCACTAAGAAGTTTCTCAGAATGTTTATGTCTAGTTTTTAAGTGAAGATATTTCTTCTTTCACCATAGGTCTCAATGGGCTCAGAAATATCCCTTTGCAGATCCTACAAAAGGACTGTTTCCAAACTGCTCAATCAAAACAAAGTTTCAACTCTGTCAGATGAATGCACACATCACAAAGAAGTTTCTCAGAATGCTTCTGACTAGGTTTTATATGAAGATATTTCCTTTCTCACCAAGTCCTCAAAATGCTGACAAATATCTCACTGCAGATACTATCAAAGACTGTTTCCAAACTGCTCAATCAAAAGAAATGTTCAACTCTGCGAGATGAATGCACGCATCACAAAGATGTTTCCAGAATGCTTCTGTCTAGTTGTTATGTGGAGATATTTCCTTTTTCACCACAGGCCTCAAAGCACTCTAAATATCCATTTGCAGATCCTACAAAAAGAGAGTTTCCAAATTGCTCAATCAAAAGAAAGTTTCATCTCTGTGAGATGAAAACACACATCCCAAAGAAGTTTCTCAGAAAGTTTCTGTCTAGTTTTTATGTGAAGATATTTCCTAATTCACCATAGACCGAAATCGGCTAAGAAGTATCCCTTTGCAGATTGTACAAAAATACTGTTTCCAAACTGCTGAATCAGAAGAAAAGTTGAACTGTGTGAGATGAATGCACACATCACAAAGAAGTTTCTCAGAATGCTTCTCTGTAGTTTTTATGTGAAGATATCTCCTTTTTCATCATAGGTGTCAAAGTGAACAAAATACCCATTTTCCGGTTCTACAAAAGGAGTGTTTTAAAACTGCTCAAAGAAGAGAAAGGTCCAACTCTGTGAGATGAATGCACACATCACAAAGAAGTTTCACAGAAAGCTTCTATGTAGTTTTTATGTGAGGATATTTCCTTTTTCACCATAGGCCTTAAACCACTCCCAAATATCACTCCACATATACTACAAATAAAGGAACCAACCCAAATGTCCAACAATGATAGAATGGATTAAGAAAATGTGACACATATACACCATGGAATACTATGCAGCCATAATAAATGATGAGTTCATGTCCTTTGTAGGGACATGGATGAAATTGGAAATCATCATTCTCAGTAAACTTTCGCAAGAACAAAAAAACCAACACTGCATATTCTCACTCATAGGTGGGAATTGAATAATGAGAACACATGGACACAGGAAGGGGAACATCACACTCTGGGGACTGTTGTGGGGTGGGGGGAGGGGGGAGGGATAGCATTGGGAGACATATCTAATGCTAGATGACGAGTTAGTGGGTGCAGTGCACCAGTATGGCACATGTATACATATGTAACTAACAGCACATTGTGCACATGTACCCTAAAACTTAAAGTATAATAACAAAAAACTGTTTCCAAACTGCTCAATCAAAAGAAACGTTCAAATCTGTGATATGAATGCTCAAATCACAAAGAAGTTTGTCAGAATGTTTCTGTCTTGTTTTTATCTGAAGATATTTCTTTCTCAAACCACTGAGAAATATCTCTTTGGAGATTGTACAAAAAGACTGTTTTCGAACTGCTCAATGAAAAGAAAGTTTCACATCACATCTGTGAAATGAATGCACTCATAAAAAGAAGTTTCTCAGAATCCTTCTGTCTAGCTTTTATGTGAAGATATTTCTTTTTCACCATAGGCCTCAAAATGATCAGAAATGTCCCTTTGCAGATTGTACAAAAAGACGGTTTCCAAACTGCTCAATCAACAGAAATGTTCAACTATGTGAGATGAATGCAAACATCACAAAAAGTTTTCTCAAAAAGTTTCTGTCTAGTTTTTATGTGAAGATATTTCCTTTTTCACTATAGTCCTCTAAGAGTTCCTAATATCCATTTGCAGATCCTACAAAAACAGTTTCCAAACTGCTCAATTAAAAGAGAAATTCAACTCTGTGAGATGAAAGCACACATGAAAAAGAAGTTAATAAGCAAGCTTTTGTCTAGTTTTTATTTGAAGATATTTCCTGTTTCACCATAGGCCATAAAGGGCTCACAAATATCCCATTGCAGAGTCTACAAGAAGACTGTTTCCAAATTGCTCAATCAAAAGAAAGGTTCAACCCAGTGAGATGAATGGACACATCACAAAGAAGTTTCTCTGAAAGCTTCTGTCTAGTTTTCATGTGAAGATATGTCGTTTTTCACCATAGGCATCAAAGGGAACAGAAAAATCCCTGTGTAGATCCTACAAAAACTTTTTCAAAACCGCTCAATCAAAAGAACGGTTCAACTCTGTGAGATGAAAGCACATATCACAAAGAAGTTTTTCAGAAATCCTCGGTGTAGTTTTTATATGAACATATTTCCTATTTCACCGCAGGCCTCAATGGGCTCAGAAATATCCCTTCGCTGATTCTACAAAAGGATTGTTTCCAAACTGCTCAATTCAAAGACAGGTTCACCACATTGATATGAATGCACACATCACAAAGAAGTTTCTCAGAATGCTTCTGCCTAGTTTTTATGTGAAGATATTTCCTTTTTCACCATAGGCCTTAAACTGCTCTCACATATCGCTCTGCAGATACTACAAAAAGACTGTTTCCAAACTGCTCCATCAAAGGAAAGGTTCAACTCTGTGAGATGAATGGATATATCACAAAGAAGTTTCTCAGAATAGTTCTGTCTGGTTTTATCTGAACATATTTCTTTTTCACCACAGTCCTCAAACTTCGCAGAAGAATCCTTTTGCAGATTGTACAAAAAGACTGTTTCCAAATTGCTCAATCAAAAGAAAGGTTCAACTCTGTGAGATGTGCGTAATCATCAAAAATAAGTTTCTCAGAAAGCTTCTGTTTAGTTTTAATGTGAAGATATTTCCTTTTTCACCATAAGCCTCAAAGCGCTCCAAGTATCCATTTGCAGATTCTACAAAAAGACTGTCTCCAAACTGCTCAATCAAAAGAAAGGTTCAAATCTGTGAGATGAAAGCACAAATCACTAAGAAGTTTTTCAGAAAGCTTCTGTCTAGTTTTTATGCGAAGATATTTCCTTTTTCAACAAAGGCCTCAATGGGCTCAGAAATATCCCTTTGCAGATCCTACAAAAGGACTGTTTCCAAACTGCTCTATCAAAACAAAGTTTCAACTCTGTCAGATGAATGCACACATCACAAAGAAGTTTCTCAGAATGCTTCTGACTAGGTTTTATGTGAAGATATTTCCTTTCTCACCACAGTCCCCAAAATGCTCACAAATATCTCTCTGCAAGTACTATAAAAGACTGTTTCAAAACTGATCAATCAAAAAAAAAGTTCAACTTTTTGAGCTGAATGTACACATCACAAAGACGTTTCTCAGAAAGCTTCTTTCTAGTTTTTATGTGAGGATATTTCCTTTTTCACCATAGGCCTTAAAACACTCACAAATATCACTCCGCATTTACTACAAAAAGACTGTTTCTAAACTGCTCAATCAAAAGAAAAGTCAACTCTGTGAGATGAAAGCACACATAAAAAAGAACTTTCTACGAAAGCTTCTGTATAGTTTTTATGTGAAGATATTACTTCTTAAGCAGAGGCCTCAAACGACCAACAAATATCCCTTTGCAGATTGTAGATAAAGACTGTTTCCAAACTGCTCAATCAAAAGAAAGGTTGAACTCTGTGAGATGAATGCATACATCACAAAGAAGTTTCATAGAAAGCTTCTGTTTAATTTTTATTTGAAGATATTTCCGTTTTCACCATATATCTCAAAGCTCTCAAATAACCATTTGCAGATTCTGCAAAAAGAGTGTTTCAATACTTCTCAATCAAAAGAAAGGTTCAGCTCTGTGAGATGAAAGCACACATCACAAAGAAGTTTCTCAGAAAGTTTCTGTCTAGTTTTTATGTGAAGATATTTCCTATTACCCCAGAAGCCTCAATGGGCTCACACATATCCCTTTGTAGATTTTACAAAACGACTCTTTCCAAACTGCTCAATCAAAAGAAACTTTCAACCCCGTGAGATGAATGCACATATCAGGAAGAAGTTTCACAGAATACTTCTGTCTAATTTTTATGTGAAGATATTTTGCTTTCCACTATAGGAATCAAAGTGCTCCAAAAAGCCACTTGCAGATTGTAAAAAAAGACTGTTTCAAAACTGTTCAATCAAAAGAAAGGTTGAAGCCTGTGAGATGAATGCACACATCACAAAGAAGTTTCCCAGATGCTTCTGTCTGATTTTTATGTGAAGATATTTCCTTTTTCACCATAGGCCTCAATACACTCCAAATATCCATTTGCAGATACTACAAATGACTGTTTACAAACTACCCAATCAAAAGAAAGTTCAACTCTGTGTGATGCATGCACATATCACAAGAAAGTTTCTCAGAAAGTTTGGGTCTGGTTTTTATGTGAAGATATTACCTATTTCCCCAGAGGCCTCAATGGGCCTACAAATATTCCCTTTCAGATTCTACAGAATGAATGTACCAAAGCTGAACAATCAAAAGAAAGGTTCACCAGTGTCAGATGAAAGCACACATCACCAGGAAGTTTCTCAGAATTCTTCATTCTAGATTTTATGTGAAGATATTTCCTTTTCCACTATAGGTCTCAAAGCTCTCCAAATATCCATTTGCAGATACTATAAAGAGAGTGTTTCCATATGAACTTTAAAGTAGTTTTTCCAATTCTGTGAAGAAAGTCATTGGTAGCTTTATGGGGATGGCATTGAATCTGTAAATTACCTTGGGCAGTATGGCCATTTTCACGATATTGATTCTTCCTACCCATGAGCATGGAATGTTCTTCCATTTGTTTGTATCCTCTTTTATTTCCTTGAGCAGTGGTTTGTAGTTCTCCTTGAAGAGGTCCTTCACATCCCTTGTAAGTTGGATTCCTAGGTATTTTATTCTCTTTGAAGCAATTGTGAATGGGAATTCACTTATGATTTGGCTCTCTGTTTGTCTTTTGTTGGTGTATAAGAATGCTTGTGATTTTTGTACATTGATTTTGCATCCTGAGACTTTGTTGAAGTTGTTTATCAGCTTAAGGAGATTTTGGGCTGAGACAATGGGGTTTTCTAGATATACAATCATGTCGTCTGCAAACAGGGACAATTTGACTTCCTCTTTTCCTAATTGAATACCTTTTATTTCCTTCTCCTGTCTAATTGCCCTGGCCAGAGCTTCCAACACTATGTTGAATAGGAGTGGTGAGAGAGGGCATCCCTGTCTTGTGCCATCACACTACCTGACTTCAAACTGTACTACAAGGCTACAGTAACCAAAACAGCATGGTACTGGTACCAAAACAGAGATATAGATCAATGGAACAGAACAGAGCCCTCAGAAATAACACCGCATATCTACAACTATCTGACCTTTGACAAACCTGAGAAAAACAAGAAATGGGGAAAGGATTCCCTATTTAATAAATGGTGCTGGGAAAACTGGCTAGCCATATGTAGAAAGCTGAAACTGGATCCCTTCCTTACACCTTATACAAAAATCAATTCAAGATGGATTAAAGATTTAAACGTTAGACCTAAAACCATAAAAACCCTAGAAGAAAACCTAAGCATTACCATTCAGGACATAGGCATGGGCAAGGACTTCATGTCCAAAACACCAAAAGCAATGGCAACAAAAGACAAAATTGACAAATAGGATCTAATTAAACTAAAGAGCTTCTGCACAGCAAAAGAAACTACCATCAGAGTGAACAGGCAACCTACAAAATGGGAGAAAATTTTTGCAACCTACTCATCTGACAAAGGGCTAATATCCAGAATCTACAATGAACTCAAACAAATTTACCAGAAAAAAACAAACAACCCCATCAAAAAGTGGGTGAAGGACATGAACAGACACTTCTCAAAAGAAGACATTTATGCAGCCAAAAAACACATGAAAAAATGCTCATCATCACTGGCCATCAGAGAAATGCAAATCAAAACCACAATGTGATATCATCTCACACCAGTTAGAATGGCAATCATTAAAAAGTCAGGAAACTACAGGTGCTGGAGAGGATGTGGAGAAATAGGAACACTTTTACACTGTTGGTGGGACTGTAAACTAGTTCAACCATTGTGGAAGTCAGTGTGGCGATTCCTCAGGGATCTAGAACTGGAAATACCATTTGACCCAGCCATCCCATTACTGGGTATATACCCAAAGGACTATAAATCATGCTGCTATAAAGACACATGCACACATATGTTTATTGTGGCATTATTCACAATAGCAAAGACTTGGAACCAACCCAAATGTCCAACAACCATAGACTGGATTAAGAAAATGTGGTACATATACACCATGGAATACTATGCAGCCATAAAAAATGAAGAGTTCATGTCCTTTGTAGAGACATGGATGAAACTGGAAACCATCATTCTCAGCAAACTATCACAAGAACAAAAACCAAACACCGCATATTTTCACTCATAGGTGGGAATTGAACAATGAGATCACATGGACACAGGAAGGGGAATATCACACTCTGGGGACTGTGGTGGGGTGGGGGCAGGAGGGAGGGATAGCATTAGGAAATATACCTAATACTAGATGACGAGTTAGTGGCTGCAGCGCACCAGCATGTCACATGTATACATATGTAACTAATCTGCACAATGTGCACATGTACCCTAAAACTTAAAGTATAATAAAA
>NC_000015.10:17000000-17049135 GCF_000001405.40 Homo sapiens | reverse complement strand
GAAAATGCACACATCACAAAGAAGTTTCTCAAAATGCTTCTGCTTAGTTTTTATGGGAAGATATTTCCTTTTTTACCATAAGTCTCAAATTGCTGCTAATATCCATTTGCAGATACTACAAAAAGACTGTAGCCAAACTGCTCAGTCAAAAGAAAGATTCAACTCTGTGAAATGAACGCACACATCACAAAGAAGTTTCTCACAATGCTTCTGTCTCGTTTTTATTTGAAGATATTTCCTTTTCCACCATAGACCAAAAATCGCTCCAAATATCCACTTGCAGATTCTACAAAAAGAGTGTTTTCAAACTGCTCAATCAAAAGAAAGGCTCATCTCTGTGAGTTGAAAACACACAGCACAAACAAGTTTCTCAGAAAGTTTCTGTCTCATTTTTATGTGAAAATATTTCCTATTGCCCCATGGGCCTCAGTTGGCTCACAAATATCCCTCTGCACATTCTACAAAATGACTGCTTCCAAACTGCTGAATCAATAGAAACGTTCAACTCTGTTAGATGAATGCCAACAACACAAAGAAGTTTCTCAGAATGATTCTATCTAGTTTTTATGTGAAGATATTTCCGTTTCCACAATAGGCCTTTAAGCACTCCAAACATCTACTTGTGGATTCTACAAACAGAGTGTTTCAAAACTGCTCAACCAAGAGAAATGTTCAACTCTGTGAGATGAATGCAGACATCACAAAGAAGTTTCTCAGAAAGTTTCTGTCTAGTTTTTATGTGAAGATATTTCCTATCGCCCCATAAGCCTCAATCGGCTTACAAATATCGTTCTGCAGATTATGAAAAACGACTGTTTCCTGACTGCTCAATCACAGGAAAGGTTCAACCCTGTGAAATGAATGCACCCATCACAAAGAAGTTTCTCAGAATGCTTCTGTCTAGTTTTTATGTGAAGAAGATTCCTTTTCCACCATATTCCTCATGCGCTCCAAATATACACTTGCAGATTCTGCTAAAAGAGTCTTTCAAAGCTGCTCAATCAAGAGAAAGGTTTAAATCTGCGAGGTGAATGCGTACATCACAAAAAGTTTCTACAAATGCTTCTGTCTGATTTTTATGTGAAGATATTTGCTTTTTCACCATAGGCCTCAATACGCCCCAAATATCCATTTGCAGATACTACAAAAAGACTGTTTCCAAACTACTCAATCAAAAGAAAGTTTCAACTCTGTGAGATGAAACAAACATCACAAAGAAGTTTCTCAGAAAGTTTCTGTCTAGTTTTTATGTGAAGATATTTCCTATTGCCCCATAGGCCTCAATCGGCTCACAAGTATCCTTTTGCAGATTACCCAAAACACGACTGTTTCCAAACTGCTCAATCACAGGAAAGGTTCAACCTTGTGAAATGAATGCACCCGTCACAAAGAAGTTTCTCAGAATGCTTCTTTCTAGCTTTTATGTGAAGAAGATTCCTTTTCCACCATATTCCACATGCGCTCCAAATATACACTTGCAGATTCTGCTATAAGACGGTTTCAAAACTGTTCAAACAAAAGAAAGGTTCAAATCTATGAGATGAATGCACACGTCACAAAGAAGTTTCTACGAATGCTTCTGTCTGATTTTTATGTGAAGATATTTCCTTTATCACCATAGGCCTCAATATGCTCCAAATATCCATTTGCAGATACTACAAAAAGACTGTTTCCAAACTACTCAATCAAAAGAAAGTTCAACTCAGTGAGATGAATGCACACATCACAAAGAAGTTTCTCAGAAAGATTCTGTCTAGTTT
The DNA here is from genome assembly GCF_000001405.40 of Homo sapiens. Classification (NCBI taxonomy): domain Eukaryota; kingdom Metazoa; phylum Chordata; class Mammalia; order Primates; family Hominidae; genus Homo; species Homo sapiens. The sequence goes on along the minus strand of NC_000015.10, from coordinate 17,047,375 downwards.
TAATGTGAAGATATTTCCTATTTCCACAGAGGCCTCAATGGGCTCACAAATATTCCTTTGCATATTCTACAAAACGACTGTTCAAAGCTGCTCAATCAAAAGAATGGTTTAACACTGTGAGATGAATGCACACATTCCAAGGAAGTTTCTCAGAATTCTTCTGTCTAGTTTTTATGTGAACATATTTCCCTTTCCACTATAGGCTGCAAAATGCTCCAAATATCCACTTGCAGATCCTACAAAAAGAGTGTTTCCACCCTGCTCAACCAAAAGAAAAGTTCAATTCTGTGAGATGAATGCACACAGTGCAAAGAAGTTTCTCAGATAGCTTCTGCGTAGTTTTTATGGGAAAATATTTAGTTTTTCAATATAGGCCAAAAGCACTCCAAATATCCATTTGCAGATTCTACAAAAAGACTGTTTCCAAATGCTCAATCAAGAGAAAGTTGCAACCCAGTGAGATGAAGTCACACATGACAAATAAGTTTCTTAGAAAATATCTGTCTAGCTTTTATGTGAAGGTATTTTCTCTTTCCCCAGAAGCCTCAATGGGCTAACAAACATCCATTTGCAGATTCTACAAAAGGACAGTTTCCAAACCAATCAAAAGAATGATTCAACTCTGTGACATCACAAACAAGTTTCTCAAAATGCTGCTGTCTAATTTATATGGGAAGTTATGTCCTTTTCCACCATAAGCCTCAAAGTGCTCCAAATATCCACTTGCAGATTCTACAAAAATACTGTTTCCAAACTGCTCAATAAAAAGAAAGGTTCAACTCTGTGAGATGAATGCACACATCACAAAATGTTTCTCAGAATACTTCTGTCTAGTTTTTATTGGAAGATATGTCCTTTTCCACCAATGACCTCAAAGCGCTCCAAATATCCACTTGCAGATACTACAAAAAGAGTGTTTCAAAACTGCTCAATCAAAAGAAAAGTTCAACTCTGTGAGATGAAAGCAAATATCACAAAGAAGTTTCTCAGAAATTTTCTGTCTAGTTTTTATGTGAACATATTTCCTATCGCCCCATAGGCCTCAATTGGTGCACAAATATCCTTCTGCAGATTACACGAAAAGACAGTTTCCAAACCACTCAATCACAAGAAAGGTTCAACTCTGTGAAATGAATGCACCCATCACAGAAAAGTTTCTCAGAATGCTTCTGTCTCGTTTTCATGTGAAGAAGATTCCTTTTCCACTGTATTCCTCATGCACAGCAAACATACACTTGCAGATTCTGCTAAAAGAGTGTTTCAAAACTGCTCAATCAAAAGAAAAGTTCTAACCTGTGAGATGAATGCACACATCACAGAGAAGTTTCTATGAATGCTTCTGTCTGATTTATATTGAAGATATTTCCTTTTTCACTGTAGGCCTCAGAGCGCTTAAAATATCCATTTGCAGACACTAGAAAAAGACTGTTTCCAAACTGCTCAATCAAAATAAAGTTGAACTCAGTGAGATGAATTCACACATCACAAAGACGTTTCTCAGAAAGATTCGGTCTAGTTTTTATTTGAAGATATTTCCTATTTCCCCAGAGGCATCAATGGGCTCACAAATATTCCTTTGCATATTCTACAAAATGACTGTTTAGAAGCTGCTCAATCACAAAAAAAGGTTCAACACTGTGAGATGAATACACACATTCAAAGGAAGTTTCTCAGAATTCTTCTGTCTAGATTTTATGTGAAGATATTTCCTTTTTCACTATAGACCACAAAGCGCTCAGAATAACCACTTGCAGACTCTACAAAAAGAGTGTTTCCACACTGCTCAATCAAAAGAAAAGTTCAACTGTGTGAGATGAATGCACACATCACAAAGAAATTTCTCTGAAAGCTTCTGCCTACTTTTTATGGGAAGATATTTCATTTTTCAACATAGGCCAAAAGTGCTCCAAATATCCATTTGCAGATTCTACAAAAAGACTGTTTCCAAACTGATCAATAAAGAGAAAGTTTCAACCTGGTGAATTGAAGTCACACATGACAAAATAGTTTCTCAGAAAGTATCTGTCTAGTTTTTATGTGAAGATATTTCCTATCTCCTGAGAAGCCTCAATGGGCTCACAAATATCGCTTTGCAGATTCTACAAAATGACAGTTTCAAAACTGCTGAATCAAAAGAAAGGTTCAACTCTGTGAGATGAATGCACAGATCACAAATAAGCTTCTCAGAATGCTGCTGTCTAGTTTTTATTGGAAGATGTGTCCTTTTCCCCCATAGGCCTGAAAGTGCCCCAAATATCCACTTGCAGATTGTACAAAAAGACTGTTTCAAAACTGCTCAATCAAAAGAAAAGTTCAAATCTGTGAGATGAAAGCACACATCAGAAAGAAGTTTCTCAGAAAGTTTCTGTCTAGTTTTTATGTGAAGATATTTCCTATCTCCCCATACGTCTCAGTGGGCTCAAAAATATCCCTCTGCAGATTCTACAAAATGACTGTTTCCAAACTGTTCAATCCAAGGAAAGGTTCAACTCCGTGAAATGAATACACCCATTAGGCAGAAGTTTCTCAGAATGCTTCTGTCTAGATTTTATGTGACAATGTTTCCTTTTCTACCATAGGCCTCAAAGCGCTACAAATATCCACTTGAAGATGCTACAAAAAGTGTGTTTCAAAACTGCTCAATCAAAAGAATGGTTCAACTTCGTAAGATGAATGCACACATCACAAAGAAATTTCTCAGAATGCTTCTGTCTAGTTTTTATGTGAAGATATTTCCTTTTCCACCATAGGCCTCAAAGCGCTCCAAATATCCACTTGCAGATCCTACAAAAAGAGTGTTTCTGAACTGCTTAATCAAAAGAAAGGCTCAACTCTGTGAGATGAATGTACACATCACAAAGAGGTTTCTCAGAATGCTTCTGTCTAGTTTTTATGTGAAGATATTTCCTTTCCACCAAAGGCCTCAAAACGCTCCAAGTATCCACTTGCAGATTCTACAAAAAGAATGTTTAAATACTTCTCAAAAAAGAAAGGTTCAGCTCAGTGAGATGAATGCATACATCCAAAGAACCTTCTCAGAATGCTTCTGTCTAGCTTTTATGTGAAGATATTTCCTTTTCCATCATAGGCCTCAAAGTGCTCCAAATATCCACTTGCAGATTCTACAAAAAGAGTGTGTTAAAACTGCTCAATCAAAAGAAAGTTTCAACACAGGGAGTTGAATGCACACATCACAAAGAAGTTACTCAGAATGCTTGTGTCTGATTTTTATGTGAAGATATTACCTTTTCCACCAAGTGTCTCAAAGTGCTCCAAGTATCCCCTTGCAGATTCTACAAAAAGAGTGATTAAATACTTCTCAAAAAAGAAAGGTTCAACTCTGTGAGATGAATGCAGAAATCGAAGAGAATTCTCTCAGAATGCTTCTTTCTGGGTTTTATGTGAAGATATTTCCTTTTCCTCTATAGGCCTCAAAACGCTACAAATATCCAGTTTCTGATACTACAAAAAGAGTTTGTTAAAACTACTCAATCAAAAGAAAAGTTCAACACAGGAAGTTGAATGCACATATCACAAAGTAGTTTCTCTGAATGCTTGTGTCTGATTTTTATGTGAAGATATTTCCTTTTCCACCATAGGCCTCAACATGCTCCAAATATCTAGTTGCAGATTCTGAAAAAAAGAGTGTTTCAAAACTGCTCAATCAAAAGAAAATTTTAACTCTGTGAAATGAATGCACACATGAAAAAGAAGTTCCTCAGAATGCTTCTGTCAAGTTTTTATGTGAATATATTTCCTTTTTATTTATTTATTTATTTATTTATTTATTATTTATTTATTTATTGTATTATTATTATACTTTAAGTTTTAGGGTACATGTGCACAATGTGCAGGTTAGTTACACATGTATACATGTACCACGCTGGTGTGCTGCACCCATTAACTCGTCATTTAGCATTAGGTATATCTCATAATGCTATCCCTGCGCCTCACCACACCCCACAACAGTCCCCAGAGTATGACATTCCCCTTCCTGTGTCCATGTGTTCTCATTGTTCAATTCCCACTTATGAGTGAGAATATGCGGTGTTTGGTCTTTTATTCTTGCAATAGTTTACTGAGAATGATGATTTCCAATTTCATCCATGTCACTACAAAGGACATGAACTCATCATTTTTTATGGCTGCATAGTATTCCATGGTGTATATGTGCCATATTTTCTTAATCAAGTCTATCATTGTTGGACATTTGGGTTGGTTCCAACTCTTTGCTATTGTGACTAGTGCTGCAATAAACATACGTGTGCATGTGTCTTTATAGCAGCATGATTTATAGTCCTTTGGGTACATACCCAGTAATGGGATGGCTGGGTCAAATGGTATTTCTGGTTCTAGATCCCTGAGGAATCGCCACACTGACTTCTACAATGGTTGTACTAGTTTACAGTGCCACCCACTTTGTAAAAGTGTTCCTATTTCTCCACATCCTCTCCAGCACCTGTTGTTTCCTGACTTTTTAATGACTGCCATTCTAATTGGTGTGTGATGGTATTTCATTGTGGTTTTGATTTGCATTTCTCTGATGGCCAGTGATGGTGAGCATTTTTTCATGTGTTTTTTGGCTGCATAAACATATTCTTTTGAGAAGTGTATGTTCATGTCCTTCACCCACTTTTTGAAGGGGTTATTTGTTTGTTTTTTTTTTCTTTTTAAACGTATGCCTCAAAGCACTCCAAATATCCATTTGCAGTTACTACAGAAAGACTGCTTCCAAACTTCTCAATCAAAAGAAAGGTTCAACTCTGTGAAATTAATGCACACATCAGAAGGAAATTTCTCAGAATGCTTCTGTCTAGTTCTTATGTGAAGATGTTTCCTATTTCCCCAGAGGCCTCAGTAGGCTGAAAAATATCCCTCTACAGATTCTACAAAACTACTGTTTCCAAACTGCTCAATCAATACAAGGTTCAAGACTGCGAAATTAATGCACACAAGACAAAGAAGTTTCTCAGAATGCATTTGTATATTTTTAATGTGAAGATATTTCCCTTTTCACCATAGGTATCAAAACGCTCCAAATATCCACTTACAGATTCTACAAAAGGACTGATTCCAAACTATCCAATCAAAATAAAGTTTCAACTCTGTGAGATGAAAGCATATATCACAAAGAATTTTCTCAGAAATTTTCTGTTTAGTTTTTATGTGAAGATATTTCCTATTACTACATAAGCCTCAATGGGAACAAAAATACCCCTTCACAGATTCTACAAAACGATGGGCTCCAAACTGCTGAATCAAAAGAAAGTTAAACCCTGTGAGATGAATGCACATATCACAAAGAAGTTTCTCAGAATGCTTTTATGAAGTTTTTATGTGAAGATATTACCTTTTCCACTATAGGACACAAAACGCTCCAAATATCGACTTGCAGAATCTACAAAAAGAGTTTTTCGAAACTGCTCAATCAAAAGAAAGGTTCAACTCTGTGAGATGAATGCACACATCACAAAGAAGTTTCTCAGAAAGTTTCTGTCTAGTTTTTATATGAAGATATTTCCTATCACCCCATAGGCATCAATGGGTTCACAAATATCCCTCTGTAGATTCTACAAAATGACAGTTGGTAAACTGCTTAATCAAAGGAATGTTTCAACTCTGTGAAACGAATGCACGCATCACAAAGAAGTTTCTCAGAATGCTTCTCTCCTGTTTTAATGTGAAGATATTTCCTATTCCACCATAGGCCTCAAAGTACTCCAAATATTCACTTGCAGATTCTACACAAAGAGTGTTTCAAAACTGCTCAATCAAAAGAAAGTTTCAAATCTGTGAGATTAATGCACACATCACAAAGCAGTTTCTAAGCATCCTTCTGTCTGGTTTTTATGTGAGGATACTTCCTTTTTCACCACAGGCCTCAAATAGCTCCAAAAATCCATTTGCAGATACTACAAAAAGATTGTTACCAAACTGCTTAATAAAGAGAAAGGTTCAAATATGAGAGATGAAACCACACAGCACAAAGATGTTTCTCAGAATTCTTCTTTGTGGTTTTTCTGTGAAGATATTTACTTTTCCACCATAGGCATCAAAGTGCAACAAATATTCACTTGCTGATTCTATAAAGAGTGTTTCAACACTGCTCAATCAAAATAAGGGTTCAACTCTGTGAGATGAATGCACACATCACAAAGAAGTTTCTGAGAATGCTTCTGTCTAGTTTTTATGTGAAGATATTTCCTTTTCCACCATAGGCCTCAAAGCTCTCCAAATATCCATTTGCAGATACTACAAAAAGACTGTTTCCAAACTGCTGAATCAAAAGAAAGGTTCAACTACATGAGTTGAATGCACACATCACAAAGAAGTTTCTCAGAAAGCTTCTGACTAGTTTTTATGTGAAGACATTTTCTTTTCCACCATAGGCCTCAAAGTGCTAAAAATATACACTTGAAGATTCTACAAAAAGAGAGTTTCAAAACTGCTCAAACAAAAGAAAGTTTCAACTCTGTGACATGAGTGCACACATCACAAAGAAGTTTCTCAGAATGCTTCTGTCTAGTTTTATGTGAAGATATTTCCTTTTCTACTATAGGCCGCAAAGTACTCCAAATATCAACTTGCAGATTCTGCAGAAAGAGTTTTTCAAAGCTGCTCAATCAAAAGAAAAGTTCAACTCTTTGAGATGAATGCACACGTCATGAAGAAGTTCCTCAGAATGCTTCTATTTTTTATGTGAAAACATATCCTTTTCTACCATAGATCGCAAAGTGCTCCAAATATCCCCTTGCAGTTTCTACTAAAAGAGTGTTTCCAAACTGCTCAATCAAAAGAAAGTTTCAACTCTGTGAGATGAATGCACACATCACTAAGAAGTTTCTCAGTAATTTTCTGTCTAGTTTTTATGTGAAGATATTTCCTTTCCTACTATAGGTCTGAAAGTGCTCCAAATATCCATTTGCAGATACTGCAAAAAGACTGTTTCCAAACTGCTTAATCAAAGGAAAGGTCCAACGCTGTGAGTTGAATGCATGCATCTCAAAGAGATTTCTCAGAATGGTTCTGTCTAGTTTTTATGTGAAGATATTTGCTTTTCCACCAGTGACCTCAAACTCTCTAAATATCCACTTGCAGATTGTACAATAAGAGTGTTTCAAAACTGCTCAATCAAAAGAAAGGTTTAACTCTGTGAGATGAATGCACACATCACAAAGCACTTTCTCAGAATGCTTCTGTCTAGTTTTTATGTGAAGATATTTCGTTTTTCACCATAGGCCGCAAAGTGCTCCAAATATTCCCTTCAGATTCTACAGAAAGAGTGTTTCAAAACTGTTCAATCAAAAGAAAGGTTCAACTCTGGTGATGAATGCACGCATCACAGAGCAGTTTCTCATAATGTTTCTGTCTAGTTTTCATGTGTATATATTTCCTTTTCCACCACAGGCCCCAAAGTGCTCCAAATATCCATTTGCAGGTACTACAAAAAGACTGTTTCCAAACTTCTCAATCAAAAGAAAAGTTTAAATCTGTGAGTTGAATGAGCACATCACAAATAAGTTTTTCAGAATGCTTCTGTCTAGTTTTTATGTGAAGATATTTCCTTTTCCACCACAGGCCACAAAGCACTCCAAATATCCACTTGAAGATTCTACAAACAGAGTGCTTCAAAAATGCTCAATCAAAAGAAAGGTTCAACTCTTTGAGATGGATGCACATATCACAAGGAAGCTTCTCAGAATGCTTCTGTCTAGTTTTTATGTGAAGATATTTCCTTTTCCACCATAGGCCTCAAGTCTCTCCAAATATCTACTTTCAGAATCTCCAAAAAGAGTGTTTTAAAACTGCTGTATCAAAGAAAGTTTCACGTCTGTGATATGACTACACACAACACAGAGAAATTTCTCACAGTGCTTCTGTGTATTTTTTATGTGAAGATATTTCCTTTTCCACTATAGGCCACAGAGCACTCCAAATATCCACTTGCAGAACCTACAAAAAGAGTGTTTCAAACCTGCTCAATCAAAAGAAAGATTTAACTCTATGAGATGAATGGACACATCACAAAGAAGTTTCTCAGTATGCTTTTGTCTAGTTTTTATGTGAAGATGTTTCCTTTTCCAATCCATGATGTAAAGTGATCCAAATATCCACTGGTTGATAGTACAAAAAGACTGCTTCCAAACTGCTCAATCAAAAGAAAGGTTCAAATCTGTGAGTTGAATGCACACATCACAAATAATTTTCTCAGAATGCTTCTGTCTAGTTTTTATGTGAAGATATTTCCTTTTCCACCATAGGCCTCAAAGCGCTCAAAATGTCCATTTGCAGATACTACAGAAAGATGCTTTCCAAGCAGCTCAATCAGAGGAAATGTTCAGCTCTTTGAATTGAATGCACATCACAAAGTAGTTTCCCTGAATGCTTCTGTCTTGTATATATGTGAAGATATTTCCTTTTCCAATATAGGCCACAAAGCGCTACAAATATGAACTTGCAGATTCTGCAAAAACAGTGTTTCCAAACTGCTCAATCAAAAGAAACTTTCAACTCTGTGAGTTGAATGCACACATCACAAAGAATTTTCTCAGAATGCTTCTTTCCAGTTTTCATATGACAATATTTCCTTTTCCACCACATGACTCAAAGCGCTCCAAAAATCCACAAGCAGATTCCATAAACAGAGTACTTCGAAACTGCTGAATCAAAAGAAAGTTTCAGCTCTGTGAGATGAATGCACACATCACAAAGAAGTTTCTGAGAATGCTTCTGTCTAGTTTTTATGTGAAGATATTTCCTTTTCCACCATAGGCCTCAAAGCTCTCCAAATATCCATTTGCAGATACTACAAAAAGACTGTTTCCAAACTGCTGAATCAAAAGAAAGGTTCAACTACATGAGTTGAATGCACACATCACAAAGAAGTTTCTCAGAAAGCTTCTGACTAGTTTTTATGTGAAGATATTTTCTTTTCCACCATAGGCCTCAAAGTGCTAAAAATATACACTTGAAGATTCTACAAAAAGAGAGTTTCAAAACTGCTCAATCAAAAGAAAGGTTCAACTGTGTTAGTTGAGTGCACACATCACAAAGAAGCTTCTCAGAATGCTTCCGTCTAGTTTTTATGTGAAGATATTTCCTTTTCCACCTTAGGCCCCAAAGCACTCCAAATATCCACTGGTAGATTCTACAAATGTGCGTTTCAAAACTACTAAATCAAAAGAAACTTTCAACTCAGTCAGATGAATGCACACATCACAAAGTTGTTTTCAGAATGCTTCTGTCTAGTTTTTATGTGAAGATATTTCCTTTTATACCATAGGCCCCAAGGTGCTCCCAATATCCACCTTCAGATTCTACAAAAAGTGTGTTTCAAAACTGCTTAATCAAAAGAAATGTTCAATCCTGTGAAATGAATGCACACATCACAAAGAAGTTTCTCAGAATGCTTCTGTCTAGTTTTGATGTGAAGATATTTCCTTTAACACCATAGGACTGGAAGCGCTCCAAATATCCACTTGCAGATTCTACAAAAAGAGTGTTTCAAAACTGCTCCATCAAAAGAAAAGTTCAACTCTGTGAGAAGAATGCACACATCACAAAGAAGTTTCGCAGAACGTTTCTGTCTAGTTTTCATGTGAAGATATTTCCTTTTCCACTAGAGGCTGGAAAGCGCTTCAAATATCCAATTGCAGATTCTACAAAAGAGTGTTTCAAACTGCTCAATCAAAGGAAAGGTCCAATTTGGTGAGCTGAATGTGCACATCAGAAGGAACTTTCTCAGAATACCTCTGTGCAGTTTTTATATGAAGATATTTACTTTTCCACCATAGGCCCCAATGCTCTCCAAATATCCACTTGCAGATTCAACGAAAAGTGTGTTTCAAAACTGCTCAATCAAAAGAAAGGTTCAACTCTGTGAGAGGAATGCTCACATCACAAACAGGTTTCTCAGAATGCTTCTGCCTTGTTTCTGTGTGAAGATACTTCCTTTTCCACTAGAGGTCACAAAGCGCTCCAAATATCCACTTGCAGATTTTACAAAAGGGTGTTTCTAAAGTGCTAAATCAAAAGAAAGTTTCAAGTCTGTGACATGAATGCACATATCCCAAAGAAGTTTCTCAGAATGCTTCTGTCTAGTTTTTATTTGAAGATATAAAATTTTCCACTATAGGCCACAAAGCGTTTCAAATATCCACTTGCATATTCTTCAAAAAGAGTGTTTCAAAACTGCTGAATCAAAAGAAAGGTTTAACTGTGTGAGATGAATGCACACATCACAAATAAGTTTCTCAGAATGCTTCTGTCTAGTTTTGATGTGAAGATATTTCCTTTAACACCGTAGGACTGGAAGCACTCCAAATATCCACTTACAGATTCTACAAAAAGTGTGTTTCAAAACTGCTCAATCGAAACAAAGTTTCAACTCTGTGAGATGATTGCACACATCATAAAGAAGTTTCTCAGAATGCTTCTGTGTAGCTTTTATGTGAAGGTATTTCCTTTTCCACCATAGGCCTTAAAGCGTTCCATACATCCACCTGCAGATTCTACAAAAAGAGTGTTTCAAAACTATTTAATCAAAAGAAAGGTTCAACCCAGTGAGATGAATGCACTCGTCATGGAGAAGATTCCCAGAATGCTTCTGTATAGTTTATATGTGAACATATTTCCTTTTCCACTATAGGAGGCAAAGCGTTCCAAATATCCAATTGCGGATTCCACAAAAAGTGTTTCAAAACTGCTCAATGAAAAGAAATGTTGAATTCTGTGAGATAAATGCACACATCATAAAGGAGTTTCTAAGAATGCTTCTGTCTGGTTTTTATGTGAATATATTTCCTTTTCCACTATAGGCCTTAAAGTGCTCCAAATATACATTTGCAGATGCTACAAAAAGAATGTTTCCAAACTCCTCAAAGATATGTTCAACTTTTTGAGTTGAATGCACACATCACAAAGTAGTTTCTCAGATTGCTTCCATCCAGATTTTATTTGAAGATATTTCCTTTACCAACATAGGCCTCAAAACTCTCCAAATATCGAACTGCAGATTCTACAAAACAGTGTTTAACTACTGCTCAAACAAAAGAAATGTTCAAACCTGTGAGATGAATGCACACATCGCAAAGATGTTTCTCAGAATACTTCTGTGTTGTATTTATGTGAAGATATTTCCTTTACCACCATAGGCCTCAAAGTGCTCCAAATATCCACTTACAGATTCTACAAAAAGAGTGTTTCAAAACTGCTCAATCAAAAGAAAGGTTCAACTCTTTGTGATGAATGCACACATCACAAAGTAGTTTTTCAGAATGCTTCTGTCTAGTTTTTATGTGAATATAAATCCTTTTCCACTATAGGCCGCAAAGTGCTCCAAAAACCCACTTGCAGATTCTACAAAAAGAGTGTTAGCAAAGACTTGGAACCAACCCAAATGTCCAACAATGATAGACTGGATTAAAAAAATGTGGCGCATATACACCATGGAATACTATGCAGCCATAAAAAATGATGAGTTCATGTCCTTTGTAGGGACATGGATGAAATTGGAAATCAACATTCTCAGTAAAATATTGCAAGAACAAAAAACCAAACACCTCATATTCTCACTCATAGGTGGGAATTGAACAATGAGAACACATGGACACAGGAAAGGGAACATCACACTCTGGGGACTGTTGTGGGGTGGGGGGAGGGGGGACGGAGAGCATTGGGAGATATATCTAATGCTAGATGACGGGTTAGTGGGTGCAGCACACCAGCATGTCACATGTATACATATGTAACTAACCTGCACATTGTGCACATTTACCCTAAAACTTAAAGAATAATAATAATAAGAAAAAAAAAGTGTTTCAAACCTCCTCAAAAAAAAGTTTCAACTCTGTGAGTTGAATGCACACATCACAAAGAAGTTTCTCACAATGCTTCTGTCTAGCTTTTGTCCAAAGTTATTTCCTTTTCCACTATACTCGTCAAGACCCTCCGAATATCCACTTGCAGATTCTACAAAAGAAGTGTTTCAAAATTGCACAATCAAAAGAAAAGTTCAACTCTGTGAGTTGTATGAACACATCAGAAAGAAGTTTCTCAGAATGCTTTTGTGTAGTTTTTATGTGAAGATATTTCCTTTTCCACCATAGGTTCCAAAGCTCTCCAAATATCCACTTGCAGATTCTACAAAAAGCGGGATTCAAAACTGCTCAATCAAAAGAAATGTTCAACTGTGTGAGTTGAAGGCACACATAACAAAGCCGTTTCTCAGAATGCTTCTCCGTAGTTTTTATATGAAGATATTTCCATTTCCACCATTCTCTACAAAGCGCTCCAAATATCCACTTGCAGATTCTATAAAAAGAGTGTTTCAAAACTGCTGAATGAAAAGAAAGTTTCAACTCTGTGAGATGAATGGACCCATCATAAACACGTTTCTCAGAATGCTTCTCTCTAGTGTTTATGTGAAGATATTTCCTTTTCCACTACACGCCTCAAAGCACTCTAAATATGCACTTGCAGATTCTACGAAAAGAGAGTTTCAAAACTGCTCAATCAAAAGAAAGGTTCAAATCTGTGAGAAGAATACACACATCACAAAGAAGTTTCTCAGAATGCTTCTGTCTAGTTTTTATGAGAAGATAATTCTTTTCCACCATAGGACCCAAAAGGCCCCAAATATCCACTCCAGATCTTACAAAAAGTGTTTAAAAAACGCTAATTCAATAGAAAGTTTCAACACCATGAGATGTATGCACACATCACAAAGAAGTTTCTCAGAATGCTTCTCTCTAGTTTTTATGTGATGATATTTCCTTCTCCACCATAGGCCTCAAAGCACTCCAAATATCCACTGGCAGATTCTAGAAAAAGAGAGTTTCAAAACTGCTCAATCAAAAGAAATTTTCAAATCTGTGAGATGAATGCGCACATCACAAAGAACTTTCTCAGAGTACTTCTGTCTAGTTTTTATGTGAAGATATTTCCTTTTCCACCATACTCATCAAAGTGTTCCAAATATCCACTTGCACATTCTACAAAGAGAGTGTTTCAAAACTGCTCAATCAAAAGAATGGTTAATCTATGTGATATGAATGCAAACATCACAAAGAAATATCTCAGAATGCTTCTGTGTAGTTTTTATGTGAAGATGTTTCCTTTACCACCATAGGGCTCAAAGTTCTCCAAATATCCACTTACAGATTCTCCAAAAAGAGTGTTTCAAGACTGCTCCATCAAAAGAAAGGTTGAACTCTTTGAGATGAAGGCACACATCACAAAGAAGTTTTTCAGAATGCTTGTGTCTAGTTTTTACGTGAATATACATCCTTTTCCACTATAGGCCGCAAAGTGCTCCAAACACCCACTTGCAGATTCTACAAAAAGAGTGTTTCAAACGTCCCCAATAAAAAAAGTTGCAACTCTGTGAGGTGAATGCACACATCAAAAAGAAGGTTCTTATAATGCTTCTGTCTAGTTTTTATGTGAAGATATTTGCTTTTCCACCATAGGCCGCAAAGGGCAACAAATATCCACTTACAAATTTTACAAAAACAGTGTTTCAAAACTTCTCAATTAAAGGAAAGCTTCAACTCTGTGCGTTGAATGCACACATCACAAAGAAGTTTCTCAGAATGCTTCTATCTAGCTTTTGTCCAAAGTTATTTCCTTTTCCACTATACTCCTCAAAGCCCTCCGAATATCCACTTGCAGATTCTACAAAAGAAGTGTTTCAAAATTGCACAATCAAAAGAAAGGTTCAACTCTGTGAGTTGTATGCAGACGTCAGAAAGAAGTTTCTCAGAATGCTTTTGTGTAGTTTTTATGTGAAGATATTTCCTTTTCCACCATAGGTTCCAAAGCTCTCCAAATATCCACTTGCAGAATCTACAAAAAGAGGGATTCAAAACTGCTCAATGAAAAGAAAGTTGCAACTCTGTGAGTTGAAGGCACACATAACAAAGCCGTTTCTCAGAATGCTTCTCTGTAGTTTTTATATGAAGATATTTCCATTTCCACCATTCTCTCCAAAGCGCTCCAAATATCCACTTGCAGATTCTATAAAAGAGTGTTTCAAAACTGCTGAATGAAAAGAAAGTTTCAACTCTGTGAGATGAATGGAAACATCATAAAGACATTTCTCAGAATGCTTCTGTCTAGTGTTTATGTGAAGATATTTCCTTTTCCACCACACGTCTCAAAGCGCTCTAAATATGCACTTGCAGATTCTACGAAAAGAGTATTTCAAAACTGCTCAATCAAAAGAAAGGTTCAAATTTGTGAGATGAACGCACACATCACAAAGAAGATTCTCAGAATGCTTCTGTCTAGTTGTTATGTGAAGATATTTGCTTTTCCACCATAGGCCGCGAAGCACACCAAATATCCACTTGCAGATTTAAAAAAAAAATAGTGTTTCAAAACTGCTCAATCAAAAGAAAGCTTCAACTCTGTGAGCTGAATGCACACATCACAAGGAAGTTTCCCAGAATGCATATGTGTAGCTTTTATGCAAAGTTATTTCCTTTTCCACAATACTCCACAAAGTCCTCCGAGTATCTACTTGCAGATTCCACAAAAAGAGAGTTTCAAAACTCCACAATCAAAAGAATGGTTCAACTCTGTGATTTGAATGCACACATCACAAAGTCGTTTCTCAGAATGCTTCTCCGTAGTTTTTATATGAAGATATTTCCATTTCCACCATTCTCTCCAAAGCATTCCAAATATCCACTTGCAGATTCTACAAAAAGAGTGTTTAAAAACTGTTCAATCGAATTAAAGGTTCATCTCTTTGAGATGAATGCACACAACACAAAGAAGTTTCTCAGAATGCTTCTGTGTAGTTTTTACGTGAAGTTATTTCCTTTTACACCATAGGCCACAAAGGGCTCCAAATATTCACTTGCAGATTCTACATAAAGAGAGTTTCAAAACTCGTCTATCAAAAGATAGGTACAACTCTGAGTTCAATGCACACATCTCAAAGAAGTTTCTCAGAATGCTTCTGTTTAGTTTTTATGTGAAGATATTTCCATTTCTACAATAGGCCTCAAAGTGCTCCAAGTATCCGCTTGTAGATTTTACTAAAAGAGTGTTTCCAAACTGCTCAATCAAAAGAAAGTTACAACTCTGTGAGATGAATGCACATATTACACAGAAATTTCTCAGAATGCTTCTGTGTAATTTTTATGTGAAGATATTTCCTTTTCCACCATAGGCCACAAAGGGCTCCAAATATCCACTTGCAGATTCTACAAAAAGAGAGTTTCAAAATTGCTCTATCAAAAGATAGGTTCAACTCTGTGAGCTGAATGTACTCATCACAAACAAGTTTCTCAGAGTGCTTTAGTGTAGTTTTTATGTGAAGATATTTCCTTTTCCACAATAGACCTCTAAGCACTACAAATATCCACTTGCAGATTCTACAAATAGTGGTTTTCAAAACTGCTCAATGAAAAGAAATGTTCAGCACAGTGTGTTGAAGGAACATTTCACAAAGAAGTTTTTCAGAATGCTTCTGTGTAGCTTTATGTGAAGATATTTCCTTTTCCACAGTAGGCCTCAAGGGGCTCCAAATATCCACTTGCAGATTCTACAAAAAGACTGTTTCAAAAGTGCTCAGTGAAAAGAAAGTTTCAACTCTCTGAGATGAATCCACACATGACAATGAAGTTTCTCAGCATGCTTCTGTGTAGTTTTTATGTGAAGTTATTTCCTTTTCCACCAGAGGCCACAAAGGGTTCCAAATATGCACTTGCAGATTCTACAAAAAGAGAGGTTAAAAACTGTGCAATCAGAAGATAGGTTCAAATCTGTGATTTGAATGCACACATCAGAAAGAAGTTTCTCAGAATGCTTCTGTGTAGATTTTATGTGAAGATATATCCTTTTCCACCATAGGCCTCAATGCACTCAAAATATCCACTTAGAGATACTACAAAAACAGTGTTTGAAAACTGCTCAATCAAAAGAAAAGTTCAACTCTGTGAGATGAACGCACACATCACAAAGAAATTTGTCAGAATGTTTCTGTGTTGTTTTCATGTGAAGATATTTCCTTTTCCACAATAGGCCCCAAAGTGCTCCAAATATCCACTTGCAGATTCTACAAAAATAGTGTTTCAAAACAGCTCAATCAAAAGAAATGCTGAACTCTGTGAGATGAAAGCACACATCACCAAGAAGTTTTTTCAGAATGCTTCTGTGAAGTTTTTATGTGAAGATATTTCTTTTTCCACCACAGGCAGCAAGGGGCTCTAAATATCCACTTGCAGATTCTACAAACAGAGATTTTCAAAGCTCCTCAATAAAAAGATAAGTTCAACTCTGTGAGTTGAATGCTCACATCACAAAGAAGTTTCTTTGAATGCTTCTGTGTAGTTTTTACGGGAAGATATTTCCTTTTACACCATAGGCCTCAAAGCGCTCCAAATATCCACCTGCAGATTCCAAAAAAAAAGAGAGTTTCAAAACTGCTTATCAAAAGATAGGTTCAACTCCGTGAGTTGAATGCACACATCACAAATAAGTTTCTCAGAATGCTTCTGTGTATTTTTTATGGGAAGATATTTCCTTTTCCTCAATATGCCTCATAGCACTGCAAATATCCACTTGCAGATCACACTAAAAGAGTATTTCCAAACTGCATAGTCAAAAGAAAGGTGAAATGAATGCACACATCGCAAAAAGTATCTCAGACTCCTTCTGTGTAGTTTTTATGTGAAGATATTTTCTTTTTTACAATAGGTTTCAAAGCTCTCCAAAGATCCACCTGCAGATTCTACAAAAGAGTGTTTCAAAACTGCCCAATCAAAATAAAGGTTCAACTCTGTCAGATGAATGCACATATCACAAGATAGTTTGTCAGAATGCTTCTGAGTAGTTTTTATGTGAAGATATTTCCTTTTCCACCTTAGGCCGCAAAAGGCTCCACATATCCACTTGCGGTTTCTACAAAAAGAATGTTTCCAAACTGGTCAATCAAAAGAAAGGTTCAACTCTGTGAGTTGAATGCACACATCACAAAGAAGTTTCACAGAATTCTACTGTGTAGTTTCTATGTGAAGATATTTCCTTTTCCACAATAGGCCTCAAAGCGTTCCAAGTATCCACTTGCAGATTCTACAAAGAGATTGTTTCAAAACTGCTCAATGAAAAGAATGGTTCAACTCTGTGAGAGTAATGCACACATCACAAAGAAGTTTCTCAGAATTCTTCTGTGTAGTTTTTATGTGTTGATATTTCCTTTTACAACATAGGCCACAAAGGGCTCGAAATATTCTCTTGCAGATTCTACAAAAAGAGAGATCCAAAACTGCTCAATTAAAAGATATTTTCAACCTTTTGAAAAGAATGCACACATCACAAAGAAGTTTCTCAGAATGATTCTGTGTAGTTTTTATATGAAGATATTTCCTTTTCCACCATAGGACACAAACGACTTCAAATACTCACTTCCAGATTCCACGACAAGAGAGTTTCAAAACTGCTAAATGAAAACATAGGTTCAACACTGTGAGTTGAATACACACACCACAAAGAAGTTTCTCAGAATTCTTCTGTGAAGATATTTCCATTTCCACAACACACCTCAAATCTTTCCAAATATCTACTTGCTGATTCTACAAAAAGAGGGTTTCAAAACTGCACAATCATAAGAAATGTTCAACTCTTTGTGATGAATGCACACATCATTAAGAAGTTCCTCAGAATGCTTCTGTGCAGTTTTTATGTGAACATATTTCCTTTTCCACCGTAGGCCAAAATCGGCTCCACATACCCACTTCCAGATTCTACAAAAAGAGAGTTTCAAAACTGCTCAATCAAAAGATCGGTTCAATTCTGTGAGTTGAAGGCAGACATCACAAAGAAGTTTCTCAGAATGCCTCTGTGTAGTTTTTATGTGAAGATATTTCCTTTTCTCCAATAGGCCTCAATGCGCTCCAAATATCCACTTGCAGATTCTACAAAAGGAGTGTTTCAAAACTGCTCAAACAAAAGAAAGGTTCAACTCCGTGAGATGAATGCAAACATCACAGAGAAGTTTCTCAGAATGCTTCTGTGTAGTTTTTATGTGAAGGTATTTCCTGTTTCACCATATGCCGCAAAGGGCTCCAAATAGCAACTTGCAGTTTCTACAAAAAGAGTGTTTCAAAACTTCTCAATCAAAACAAAAGTTCAACTCTGTGAGATGAATGCACACATCACAAAGAAGTTTCTCATAATGTTTCTGTGTAGTTTCTAATCTGAGGATACTTCCTTTTCCCACATAGGCCTCAAAGGGCTACAAATATCCAGTTGCAGATTCTACAAAAACAGTGTTTCAAAACTGTGCAATCAAAAGAAATATTCATCTCTGTGAGATGAATGCACAAATCACAAAGAAGTTTCTCAGAATGCTTCTCTGTAGTTTTTATGTGAAGATATTTCCTTTTCCACAACAGGGTTGAAATCGTCCAAGTTTCCACTTGCAGATTCTACAAAGAGAGTGTTTCAAAACTGCTGAACCATAAGATAGGTTCCAATCTATGAGATGAATGCACACATCACAAAGAAGTTTCTCAGAATGCTTCTGTGTAGTATTTATTTCAGGATATTTCCTTTTCCTCCATAGGCTGCAAAGGGCTTCAAATATCCACTTGCAGATTTTACAAAAAGTGTGTTTCAAAAGTTCTCAATCAAAAGAAACTTTCAACTCGGTGGGATGAATGCACACATCACAGAGATGTTTCTCAGAATGCTTCTGTGTGGTTTTCACGTGAAGATATTTGCTTTTCCACAGTAGGCCTCAAAGCATTCCAAATATCCACTTGCAGATTCTATAAAAACAGTGTTTCAAAACTGCTCAATCAAAAGAAACGTACAACTCTGTTAGATGAATACGTGCATCAAAAAGTAGTTTCTCAGAATAATTCTGTGTAGGTTTTATGTGAAGATATTTCCTTTTACACAATAGGCCACAAAGGGCTCCAAATATCCACCTGAAGATTCTGCAAAGAGAGTGTTTCAAACCTGCTCAGTCATAAGATATTTTCATCTCTGTGAGATGAATGCACACATCACAAAGAAGTTCCTCAGAATGCTTCTGTGTAGTTTTTATTTGAAGATATTTCCTTTGCCTCCATGGACCACAAAGTACTCAAAATATCCACTTGCAAATCCTAGAAAAAGAGAAATCCATAACTGCTCAATCGAAATATAGGTTCAACTCTGTGAGTTGAATGTTCACATCACAAAGAAGTTTCTCAGAATGCTTCTGTGTAGTTTTTATGTGAAGATATTTCCTTTTCCAAAATAGGCCTCAAAGTCTACCAAATATCCACTTGCAGATTCTGCAAAAACATTATTTAAAAACTGCTCAATCAAAAGACAGATTAGACTCTGTGAGTTGAACGCACACATCACAAAGAACTTTCTCAGAATGCTTTTGTGTAGTTTCTATGTGAACATATTTCCTTTTCCACAATATGCCTCAAATCGTTCCAAGGATCCACTTGTAGATTTTACAAAGAGAGTGTTTGAAAACTGCTAAACCATAACATAGATTCAACTCTGTGAGATGAATGCACACATCACAACGAAGTTTCTCAGAATGATTCAGTGTCGTTTTTATGTGAAGATATTTCCTTTTCCACTATAGGCCTCAAAATGCTCAAAATATCCACTTGCAGATTCTACAGAAAGAGTGTTTCAAAACTGCTCAATCAAAATAATGTTTCAACTGTGTGAGATGAATGCACACATCACAAAATTTTCTCAGAATTCTTCTGTGTAGTTTTTATGTGAAGATAATTGCTTTTACACAGTAGACCTCAAATCTCTCCAAATATCCACTTGCAGATTCTACAAAAACTGTATTTAAAAACTGCTCAATGAAAATAAAGGTTCAACTATGTGAAATGAATGCACACATCAAAAAGAAGTTTCTCAGAATGCTTCTGTGTAGTTTTTATGTGAAGATATTGCCTTTTCCACAATAGGCTTCAGTGCGCAGCAAATATCCACTTGCAGAATCTACAAAAGGAGTGTTTCAAAACTCCTCCATCAAAAGAAAGGTTCAACTCTGTGAGATGAATGCACACATCACAAAGAAGTTTCTCAGAATGCTTCTGTGTAGTTTTCATTTGAAGATATTTCCTTTTCCTCAATAGTACTCAAAGCGCTCCAAATATCCACTTTTAGATTCTTGAAAGACAGTGTTTCAAAACTGCTCAATCATAAGATGCGTTCACCTCTGTGAGTTGAATGCACACATCACCAAGAAGTTTCTCAGAATGCTTCTGTGTAGTTTTTATTTGAAGATATTTCCTTTCCTCCATGGACCGCAAAGGGCTCCAAATATCCACTTGCAGATTCTAGAAAAAAAGAGATCCAAAACTGCTCAATCAAAAGATAGGTTCAAGGCTGTGAGTTGAATGCACACATCACAAAGAAGTTTCTCAGAATGCTTCCATGTACTTTTTATGTTAAGGTATTTCCCTTTCCACTGTAAGCCACAAAGGTCTCCAAATATCCAGTTGCAGATTCTACAAAAAGAGTGCTTCATACTGCTCAATCAAAAGAAAGTTCTATCTCTGGGTGGTGAATACGTACATCAAAAGGAAATTTCTCAGAATGCTTCTGTGTAGTTTTTATGTGAACATATTTCCATTTCCAAAAAGCCTCAAAGCCCACCAAATATCCACCTGCTGATTCTACAAAAAGATTGTTTGAAGTCTGCTCAATCAAAAGACAGGTTCAACTCTGTGAGATGAATGCACACATCACCTAGAAATTTCTGAGAATTCTTCTGTGTAGTTTTTATTTGAAGATATTTCCTTTGCCTCCATAGACCGCAAGAGGCTCCAAATATCCACTTCCAGATTCTAGAAAAAGAGAGAACTAAAACTGCTCAATCAAAAGATAGGTTCAAGACCGTGAGTTGAATACACACATCAAAAAGAAGTTTCTCAGAATGCTTCTGTGTAGTTTTTTTTTTTTGTGAAGATATTTCCTTTTCCAAAATAGGCCTCAAAGACCACCAAATATCCACTTGCTGATTCTACAAAAAGAGCGTTTCAGATCTGCTCAATCAAAAGACATGTTCAACTCTGGGAGATGAATGCACACATCACAAGGAAGTTTCCCAGAATGCTGCTGTGTAGTTTTTATGTGAATATATTTCCTTTCCCAAACTAGGCTTCAAAGTGCTCCAAATATCCACTTACAGATACTACAAAAGGAGTGTTTCGAAACTGCTCAATAATAAGATAGGTTCAACTCTGTGAGATGAATGCACACATCACAAAGAAGTTTCTCAGAAAGTTTCTGTGTAGTTTTTATTTGAAGATATTTCCTTTTTCACCATAGGACACAAATGGATCTATATGTCCACTTGCAGAAAATAAAAAAAGTGAGATTCAAAACTGCTCAATCAAAAGATAGGTTCAACTCTGTGAGTTGAATTCACACATCACAAAGAAGTTTCTCAGAATGCTTCTGTGTAGTTTTTATGTGAAGATACTTCCTTTTCCAAAATAGGCCTAAAATCAATCCAAATATCCACTTGCAGATTCTACAAAAAGAGTGTTTCAAAACTGCTCAATCAAAAGAAAAGCTCAAATCTGTGTGATGAATGCACTCATCACAAATTAGTTTCTCAGAATGTTTCAGAGTAGTTTTTATGTGAAATTGTTTCCTTTTCCACAATAGGCCTCAAAGCGCTGCAAATATCCTCTTGGAGAGTCTACAAAAACAGTGTTTCAAGACTCCTCAATCAAAAGAAAGTTTCAACACTGTGAGATGAATGCACACATCACAAAGAAGTTTCTCAGAATGCCTCTGTGTGGTTTTTATGTGAAGATATGTGTTTCTCCACAGTAGGCCTCAAAGGGCTCCAAATGTCCACTTGCAGATTCTACAAAAACTGAGTTTCAAAACTGCTCAATCAAAAGAAAGTTTCAACTATGTCAAATGAATGCACACATCACAAAGAAGTTTCTTAGAATCCTTCTGTGTAGTACTTATTTGAAGATATTTCCTTTTCCTCCATAGGCTGCAAAGGTATCCAAATATCCTCTTGCAGATTCTACAAAAAGAGAGATTCAAAACTGCTCTATGAAAAGATAGGTTCAACTCTGTGTGTTGAATGCTCACATGACAAAGAAGTTTCACAGAATGCTTCTGTGTAGTTTTTATGTGAAGATATTTCCTTTTCCACTATAGTCCTCAAAGTGCTCAAAATATCCAGTTGCAGATTCTACAGAAAGAGTGTTTCAAAACTGCTCAATCAAAAGAAAGGTTCAACTCTGTGAGATGAATGCACACATCACAAAGAAGTTACTCAGAATGCCTCTTCATAGCTTTTGTGTGAAAATATTTACTTTTTCACAATAGGCATCAAAGCGCTCAAAATATCCTCTTGCAGATTTTACAAAAACCGTGTTTCAAAACTGCTCTACCAAAAGAAAGGTTCAACTCTGTGAGATGAATGCACACAGCAGAAAGAGGATTCTCAGAATGCTTCTGTGCACTTTTTATGTGAAGATATTTCTTTTCCACAATAGGCCTCAAAGCGCTTCAAGTATCAACTGGAAGATTATACAAAGAGAGTGTTTCAAAACTGCTCAATCATAAGATAGGTTCATCTCGGTTTGGTGAATTTACACATCAAATGAAGTTACTCAGAATGCCTCTTTATAGTTTTTATGTGAACATATTTACTTGTCCACAATAGGCCTCAAAGCACTCAAAATATCCTCTTGCAGATTTTTCAAAAACAGTGTTTCAAAACTGCTCTACCAAAAGAAAGGTTCAACACTGTGGGATGAATGCACACATCACAAAGAAGATTCTCAGAATGCTTCCATGTAGTTTTTATTTCAAGATATTTCCTTTTCCTCCATAGGCTGAAAAGGGCTCCAAATATCTACTTGCAGATTATACAAAAAGAGAGATTCAAAACTACTGAATCAAAAATAGGTTTAACTCTGTGTTATGAATGCACTCATCACAATGAAGTTTCTCAGAATGATTCTGTGTAGCTTTTATATGAAGATAGTTCCTTTTATTCAATAGACCTCAAAGCGCTCCAAATATCCACTTACAGTTTCTACAAAAAGAGTGTCTCAAAACTGCTTAATGATAAGATAGGTTCAACTCTGTGAGGAGAATGCACACATCACAAAGAATTTTCTCAGAATGCTTCTATGTAGTTTTTATGTGTAGATATTTACTTTTACACCATAGACTTCAAAACGCTCCAAATATCCATTTACAGATTCTACAAAAAGAGTGATCCCAAACTGCTCAAACAAAAGAAAAGTTCAACTCTGTCAGATGAATGCACACATCGCAAAGAACTTCCTCAGAATGCTTTTGTGTAATTTTTCTGTGAAGATATTTTCTTTTCCACAGTAGGCCTCAAAGCACTACAAATATCCACTTGCAGATTCTACAAAAAGAATGTGAAAACTGTTCAATCTACAGAAAGGTTCAACTCTGTGAGATGAATGCATACATCCCAAAGAAGTTTCTCGGAATGTTTCCATGTAGTTTTTTTGTGATGATATTTCCTTTTCCACAATAGGCACCAAAGCGCTCCAGATATCCACTTTCAGATCCCACAGACAGAGGGTTTCAAAACTGCTCAATCAAAAGATAAGTTCAAGTGTGTGAGATTAATGCACACAACAACAAGAAGTTTCTCAGAATATTTATGTGTAGTTTTCATTTGAAGATATCTCCTTTTCCACCATTGGCTGCAAAGGGCTCCAAACTTCCACTTGCAGATTCTACAAAAAGAGAGATTCAAAACTGCTCAATCAAAGGTAGCTTCAACTCTCTGAGTTGAATGCACACATCACAGAGAAGTTTCTCAGAATGCTTCTTTGTAGTTTTTATGTGAAGATATTGCCTTTTGCACCATATGCCACAAAGGCCTTCTAATACCCATTCCAGATTCTTCAAAAAGAGAGTTTCAAAACTGCCCAATCAAAAGATAGGTTCAAGGCTGTGAGTTGAATGCACACATCACAAAAACTTTCTCAGAATTCTTCTGTGTAGTTTTTATGTGATGATAATTCTTTTTCCACCATAAGCCGCAAAGGGCTCAAAATATCCACTTGCAGATTCCACAGAAAGAGAGACTCAAAACTGCTCAATCAAAAGATAGATTCAACCCTGTGAGTTGAATGCACAGATCACAGAGAAATTTCTCAGAATGCTTCTGTGTAGTTTTTATGTGAAGATATTTCCTTTTCCACTGGAGGCCTCAAAGCGCTACAAATATCAACTTGCACATTCTGCAAAAAGAGCGTTTCCAAACTGCTCAATCGAAAGAAACGTTCAACACTCTGAGATGAATGCACACATCACAAAGAAGTTTCTCAAAATTCTTCTGTGTAGTTTTTATGTGAAGATATTTCCTTTTCCTTATTAGGCCACTAAGGGCTCCCAATATCCACTTGCAGATTATTGAGAAAGATAGTTTCAAAACTGCTCAATCAGAAAATAGGTTCAACTCTGTGAGTAGAATGAATACATCACAAAGAAGTTTCTCAGAATGCTTCTGTGTACTTTTTATGAGAAGATATTTCCTTTTCTACCATAGGCCACAAAATGCTCCATATATACACTGGTGGATTACAGAAAAAGAGAGTTTCAAACTGCTCAATCAAAAGAAAGGTGCAAATCTGTGAGATGAATGCTCACATTTCAAAGAAGTTTCTCAGAATGCTTCTGTGTAGTTTTTATGTGAAGATATTTCCTTTTACACCATAGGCCACAAGGGTTTCCTAATATCCACTTGCAGATTCTACAAAAAGAGAGTTTCAAAACTGGTCAACCAAAAGATAGGTTCAACCCTGTGAGTTGAATGTGCACACCACAAAGAAGTTTGTCACAATAGTTTTGTGTAGTTTTTATGTAAAGGTATTTCCTTTTCCTCCATAGTCCTCAAAGTGCTCCAAATATTAAATAGCAGATTCTACAAAAAGAGTGTTTCCAAACTGCTCAAACTAAAGAAAGGTTCAACTCTGTCAGATGAATGCACACGTCGCATATAAGTTTCTCAGAATGTTTCTGTATAATTTTTATGTGAAGATATTTCCTTTTCCACAATAGGCCTTAAAGCGCTCCAAATATCCAACTGCAGATTCTACAAAAAAAAGTGTCTCAAAACTGCTGAATCAACAGAAAATTTCAAATCTGTGAGATGAATGCACATGTCAGAAAGAAGTTTCTCAGAATGTTTCTGTGTAGTTTTAAAGTGAAGATATTTCCTTTTATGCCAGAGGCCACAAATGGCTCCAAATATCCACTTGCAGGTTCTACAAAAAGAGAGTTTCAAAACTTCTTAATCGAATGATAGGTTCAACTCTGGGAGGTGAATCCACACGTCACAAATAAATTTCTCAGAATGCCTCTGTGTATTTTTCATGTGACGACATTTCCTTTACCACCATAGGACTCAAAACCCTCCAAATATCCACGTACAGATTCTTCAAAAGGAGTGTTTCCAAACTGCACAATCAAAAGAAAAGTTCAGCTCTGTGAGAGGAATGCACACATCACAAAGAAGTTTCTCAGGATGCTTCTGTGTAGTTTTTATGTGAGGATATTTCCTTTTACACCATAGGCTGCAAAGGGCTCCAAATATCCACTTGCAGATTCTACAAAAGGAGAGTTTCAAAACTGCTATATCAAAAGATAGGTTCAATTATGTGAGTTGAATATAAACATAACAAAGACGTTTCTCAGAATGCTTTTGTGAAGTTTTTACGTGAAGATATTTCCTTTTCCATCATAGGCCACATAGCGCTCCAAATATCCACTTGCGGATTCTACAAAAACAGGGTTTCCAAGCTGCACAATCAAAAGAAATGTTCAACTCCTTGAGATGAATGCACACATCACAAAGAAGTTTCTCAGAATGCTTCTGTGTAGTTTTTATGTGAGGATATTTTCTTTTCCACAATAGGCCTCAGAGCACTCCAAATATCCACTTGCAGATTCTACAAAAGAGAGTTTCAAAAGTGATCAATCAAAAGATAGGTTTAGCTCTGTGAGTTGAATGCACACATCACAAAGAAGTTTCTCAGAATGCTTTTGTGTAGTTTTTATGTAAAGATATTTCCTTTTCCGCCATAGGCCTCAAATCCCTCCAAATATTCACTTGCAGATTCTATAAAAAGAGTATTTCTAAACTGCCCAAACAAAAGAAAGGTTGAAGTCAATCAGATGAATTTGCACATCACAAAGAAGTTTCTCAGAATGATTCTGAGTAGTTTTTATGTGAAGATATTAACTTTTCCACAGTAGGCCTCAAAGCCCTGCAAATATCCACATGATCATTCTACAATAAGGGTATTTTATAACTGCTCAATCAAAAGAAAGTTTCTACTCTGTGAGATGAATGTACATATCACAAAGAAGTTTCTCAGAATGCTTCTGTGTAGTTTTTGTCTGAAGATATTTCCTTTTCCACCACAGGCCACAAAGGGCTCAAAATATCCACTTGCAGATTGCACAAAAAGACAGTTGCAAAGCTGCTCAATCCAAAGATATGTTCAAATCTGTGAGTTGAATGCACACATCACAAAGAAGTTTCTCAGAATCCTTCTTTGTAGTTTTTATGTGAAGATATTTCCTTTTCCACCGTAGGCCTCAAAACCCTCCAACTATCCACTTTCACATTCCACAAAAGGAGTGTTTCAAAACTGTTCAATCAAAAGAAAAGTTCAACTCTGTGAGATAAATGCAGACATCACAAAGCAGTTTTTCAGAATGCCCCTGTGTAGTGTTTATCTGAAGATATTTCCTTTTCCACCATAAGCCACAAAGGGCTGCAAATATCCACTTGAAGATTCTACAAAAAGAGTGTTTCCAAACTGCTCAGACAAAGAAAGTTTCAACTCTGTCAGATGAATGCACACATCGCAATGTGAAATGAATGCAAACATCGCAAACAAGCTTCTCAGAATGCTTCTGTGTAGTTTTTATGTGAAGATATTTCCTTTTCACGATAGTCCCCAAAGCTTTCCAAATATCCTCTTGCAGATTCTACAAAAAAAAGTTTCCAAACTGCTCAATCAAAGGAAAGGTTCAAGTCTGTGAGATGAATACACCCTTCACAGAGAAGTTTCTCACAATGCTTCTGTGTAGTTTTTTTGTGAAGATATTTCCTTTTACACCATAGCCCACAAAGGGTTCCATATATCCCCTTGCAGATTCTACAAAAAGACAGTTTCAAAATTGCTCTCTATAAAGACAGGTTCAACTCTGTGAGTTGAATACACACATAACAAAGAAGTTTCTCAGAATGCTTCTGTGAAGTTTTTATGTGACGATATTTTGTTTTCCACAATAGGCCACATGGCACTCCAAGTATCCACTAGCAGATTCCACAAAAACAGTGTTTCAAGCTGCACAATCAAAAGAAATATTAAACTCTGTGAGATGAATGCACACATCACCAAGAAATTTCTCAGAACACTTCTGTGTAGATTTTATGTGAAGATGTTTCCTTTTGCACTATAGGCCGCAAAGGGCTCCATATATCCACTTCCAGATTCTACAAAAATAGATTTTCAAAACTGTTCAATCAAAAGATATGTTCAACTCTGAGAGTTGCATGCATTCATTGCAAAGAAGTTTCTCAGAGTACTGCTGTGTAGTTTTTTTTTAATATATTTTATTTTATTATTATTATACTTTAAGTTTTAGGGTACATGTGCACATTGTACAGGTTAGTTACATATGTGTACATGTGCCATGTTGGTGTGCTGCACCCATTAACTCGTCATTTAGCATTAGGTATATCTCCTAATGCTATCCCTCCCTCCTCCCCCCACCTCACATCAGTCCCCAGAGTGTGATGTTCCCCTTCCTGTGTCCATGTGTTCTCATCGCTCAATTCCCACCTATGAGTGAGAACATGCAGTGTTTGGTTTTTTTGTCCTTGCAATAGTTTACTGAGAATGATGATTTCCAGTTTCATCCATGTCCCTACAAAGGACATGAACTCATCATTTTTGTATGGCTCCATAGTATTCCATTGTACATATGTGCCACGTTTTCTTAATCCACTCTGTTATTGCTGGACATTTGGGTTGTTTCCAAGTCTGCAATTGTGAATAGTGCTGCAATAAACATACGTGTGCATGTGTCTTTATAGCAGCATGATTTATAGTCCTTGGGTACGTGCCCAGTAATGGGATGGCTGGGTCAAATTGTATTTCTAGCTCTACTTCCCTGAGGAATCGCCACACTGACTTCCACAATGGCTGAATTAGTTTACAGCCCCATCAAAAGTGTAAAAATGTTTCTATTTCTCCACATCCTCTCCAACACCTGTTGTTTCCTGACTTTTTAATGATTGCCATCCTAACTGGTGTGAGGTGGTATCTCATTGTGGTTTTCATTTGCATTTCTCTGATGGCCAGTTAAGGATGAGCATTTTTTCATGTGTTTTTGGCTGCATAAATGTCTTCTTTGGGAAGTGTCTGTTGATGTCCTTCACCCACTTTTTGATGGCTTTGTTTGTTTTTTTCTTGTAAATTTGTTTGAGTTCATTGTAGATTCTGGATATTAGCCCTTTGTCAGATAAGTAGGTTGTGAAAACTATCTCCCATTTTGTACATTGCCTGTTCACTCTGCTGGTAGTTTCTTTTGCTGTGCAGAAGCTCTTTAGTTTAATTAGATCCCATTTGTCAATTATGGCATTTGTTGCCATTGCTTTTGTTGTTTTAAACATGAAGTCCTTGCCCATGCCTATGTCCTGAATGGTAATGCCTAGGTTTTCTTCTAGGATTTTTATGGTTTTAGGTCTAACGTTTAACTTTTTAATCCATCTTGAATTAATTTTTGTATAAGGTGTAAGGAAGGGATCCAGTTTCAGCTTTCTACATATGGCTAGCCAGTTTTCCCAGCACCATTTATTAAATAGGGAATCCTTTCCCCATTGCTTGTTTTGTTCAGGTTTATCAAAGAACAGATAGTTGTAGATATGCAGCATTATTTCTGAGGGCTCTGTTCTGTTCCATTGATCTATATTTCTGTTTTGGTACCAGTACCATGATGTCTTGGTTACTGTATCCCTGTAGTATAGTTCGAAGTCAGGTAGACTGATGCCTCCAGCTTTGTTCTTGCGGCTTAGGATTGACATGGTGATGCAGGATCTTTTTTGGTTCCATATGAACTTTAAAGTAGTCTTTTCCAATTCTGTGAAGAAAGTCATTGGTAGCTTGTTGGGGATGACATTGAATCTATAAATTACCTTGGGCAGTATGGTCATTTTCACGATATTGATTCTTCCTATTCATGAGCATGGAATGTTCTTCCATTTGTTTGTATCCTCTTTTATTTCATTGAACAGTGGTTTGTAGTTCTCCTTGAAGAGGTCCTTCACGTCCCTTGTAAGTTGGATTCCTACATATTTTATTCTCTTTGAAGCAATTGTGAATGGGAGTTCACTTATGATTTGGCTCTCTGTTTGTCTGTTATTGGTGTATAAGAATGCTTGTGATTTTTGTACATTGATTTTGTATCCTGAGACTTTGCTGAAGTTGCTTATCAGCTTCAGGAGATTTTGGGCTGAGACAATGGGGTTTTCTAGATATACAATCATGTCATCTGCAAACAAGGACAATTTGACTTCCTCTTTTCCTAATTGCATACCCTTTATTTCCTTCTCCTGCCTAATGGCCCTGGCCAGAACTTCCAACACTATGTTGAATAGGAGTGGTGAGAGAGGGCATCCCTATCTTGTGCCAGTTTTCAAAGGGAATGCTTCCAGTTTTTGCCCATTCAGTATGATATTGGCTGTGTGTTTGTCATAGATAGCTCTTATTATTTTGAGATATGTCCCAACAATACCTAATTTATTGAGTATTTTTAGCATGAAGGGTTGTTGAATTTTATCAAAGGCCTTTTCTGCATCTATTGAGATAATCATGTGGTTTTTGTCTCTGGTTCTGTTTATATGCTGGATTACATTTATTGATTTGCATATATTGAACCAGCCTTGCATCCTAGGGATGAAGCCCACTTGATCATGGTGGATAAGCTTTTTAATGTGCTTCTGGAATCGGTTTGCCAGTATTTTATTGAGGATTTTTGCATCAATGTTCATCAAGGATATTGGTCTAAAATTTTGTTTTTTGGTTGTGTCTCTGCCCGGCTTTGGTATCAGGATGATGCTGGCCTCATAAAATGAATTAGGGAGGATTCCCTCTTTTTCTATTCATTGGAATAATTTCAGAAGGAATGGTACCAGTTCCTCCTTGTACCTCTGGTAGAATTCGGCTGTGAATCCATCTGGTCCTGGACTCTTTTTGGTTGGTAAGCTATTGATTATTACCACAATTTCAGAGCCTGTTATTGGTCTATTCAGAGATTCAACTTCTTCCTGGTTTAGTCTTGGGAGGGTGTATGTGTCAAGGAATTTATCCATTTCTTCTAGATTTTGTAGTTTGTTTGTGTAGAGGTTTATGTAGTATTCTCTGATAGTAGTTCGTATTTCTGTGGGATCGATGGTGATACTCACTTTATCATTTTTATTGCATCTATTTGATTCTTCTCTCTTTTCTTCTTTATTAGTCTTGCTAGCGGTCTATCAATTTTGTTGATCTTTTCAAAAAACAATCTCCTGGATTCATTAATTTTTTGAAGGTTTTTTTGTGTCTCTATTTCCTTCAGTTCTGCTCTGATTTTAGTTATTTCTTGCCTTCTGCTAGCTTTTTAATGCGTTTGCTCTTGCTTTTCTAGTTCTTTTAATTGTGATGTTAGGGTATCAATTTTGGATCTTTCCTGCTTTCTCTTGTGGGCATTTAGTGCTATAAATTTCCTTCTACACACTGCTTTGAATGTGTCCCAGAGATTCTGGTATGTTGTGTCTTTGTTCTTGTTGGTTTCAAAGAACATCTTTATTTCTGCCTTCATTTTGTTATGTACCCAGTAGTCATTCAGGAGCAGGTTGTTCAGTTTCCATGTAGTTGAGCGGTTTTGAGTGAGTTTCTTAATCCTGAGTTCTAGTTTGATTGCACTGTGGTCTGAGAGACAGTTTGTTATAATTTCTGTTCTTTTACATTTGCTGAGGATAGCTTTATTTCCAACGATGTGGTCAATTTCGGAATAGGTGTGGTGTGGTGCTGAAAAAAATGTATATTCTGTCGATTTGGGGTGGAGAGTTCTGTAGATGTCTATTAGGCCCGCTTGGTGCAGAGCTGAGTTCAATTCCTGGGGATCCTTGCTAACTTTTTGTCTCGTTGATCTGTCTAATATTGACAGTGGGGTGTTAAAGTCTCCAATTATTATTGTGTGGGAGTGTAAGTCTCTTTGTACATCACTCAGGACTTGCTTTAAGAATCTGGGTGCATATACATTTAGGATAGTTAGCTTTTCTTGCTGAATTGATCCCTTTACCATTATGTAATGGCCTTCTTTGTCTCGTTTGATCTTTGTTGGTTTAAAGTCTGTTTTATCAGAGACTAGGATTGCAACCCCTTTTTTTGTTTTCCATTTGCTTTGTAGATCTTCCACCATCCTTTCATTTTGAGCCTATGTTTGTCTCTGCATGTGAGATGGGTTTCCTGAATACAGCACACTGATGGGTCTTGACTCTTTATCCAAATTGCCAGTCTGTGTCTTTAATTGAAGCATTTAGTCCATTTACATTTAGAGTTAATATTGTTATGTGTGAATTTGATCCTGTCGTTATGATGTTAGCTGGTTATTTTTCTCGTTACTTGATGCAGTTTCTTACTAGCCACAGTGGACTTTACAATTTGGCATGATTTTGCAGTGGCTGGTACTGATTGTTCCTTTCCATGTTTAGTGCTTCCTTCAGGAGCTCTTTTAGAGCAGGCCTGGTGGTGACAAAATCTCTCAGCATTTGATCGTCTGTAAAGTATTTTATTTCTCCTTCACTTATGAAGCTTAGTTTGGCTGAATATGAAATTCTGGGTTGAAAATTCTTTTCTTTAAAAATGTTGAATATTGGCCCACACTCTCTTCTGGCTTGTAGACTTTCTGCCAAGAGATCGGCTGTTCGTCTGATGGGCTTCCCTTTGAGGGTAACCCGACCTTTCTCTCTGGCTGCCCTTAATATTTTTTCCTTCATTTCAACTTTGGTGAATCTGACAATTATGTGTCTTGAAGTTGCTCTTCTCGAGGAGTATCTTTGTGGCATTCTCTGTATTTTCTGAATATGAATGTTGGTCTGCCTTCTAGATTGGGGAAGTTCTCCTGGATAATATCCTGCAGAGTGTTTTCCAACTTGGTTCCATTCTCCGCATCACTTTCAGGTACACCAATCAGACATAGATATGGTCTTTTCACATAGTCTCATATTTCTTGGAGTCTTTGTTCATTTCTTTTTATTCTTTTTTCTCTAAACTTCCCTTCTCACTTTATTTCATTCATTTCATCTTCCATCACTGATATCCTTTCTTCCAGTTGATCACCTCGGCTCCTGAGGCTTCTGCATTCTTCAAGTAGTTCTGGAGCCTTGGCTTTCAGCTCCATCAGCTCCTTTAAGCACTTCTCTGTGTTGGTTATTCTAGTTATACATTCGTCTAAATTTTTTCAAAGTTTTTAACTTCTTTGCCTTTGGTTTGAATTTCCTCCTGCAGCTCGGAGTAATTTGATCGTCTGAAGCCTTCTTCTCTCAACTCGTCAAAGTCATTCTCCGTCCAGCTTTGTTCCATTGCTGGTGAGGAACTGCATTCCTTTGGAGGAGGAAAGGCACTCTGCTTTTTAGAGTTTCTAGTTTTTCTGCTCTGTTTTTTCCCCATCTTTGTGGTTTTATCTACTTTTGGTCTTTGATGATGGTGATATACAGATGGGTTTTTGGTGTGGATGTCCTTTCTGTTTCTTAGTTTTCCTTCTAACAGACAGGACCCTCAGCTGCAGGTCTGTTGGAGTTTGCTAGAGGTACACTCCAGATCCTGTTTGCCTGGGTATCAGCAGCGGTGACTGCAGAACAGCAGATTTTCGTAAACCACGAATGCTGCTGTCTGATCTTTGCTCTGGAAATTTTGTCTCAGAGGACTATACGGCCGTGTGAGGTGTCAGTCTGCCCCTACTGAGGGGTGTCTCCCAGTTAGGCTGCTCGGGGTTCAGAGGTCAGGTACCCACTTGAGGAGGCAGTCTGCCCATTCTCAGATCTCCAGCTGTGTGCCGGTAGAACCACTTCTCTCTTCAAAGCTGTCAGACAGGGACATTTAAGTCTGCAGAGGTTACTGCTGCCTTTTTGTTTGTCTGTGCCCTGCCCCCAGAGATGGAGCCTACAGAGGAAGGCAGGCCTCGTAGAGCTGTGGTGGGCTACACCTACTTCGAGCTTTCCAGCAGCTTTGTTTACCTAAGCAAGCCTGGGCAATGGGGTTGCCCCACCCCCAGCCTCACTGCCACCTTGTAGTTTGATCACAGACTGCTGTGCTAGCAATCAGTGAGACACCATGGACGTAGGACCCTCCAAGCAAGGTGTGGGATATAATCTCCTGGTGTGCCATTTTTTAAGCCCATTGAAAAAGAGCAGTATTATGGTGGGAGTGACTGGATTTCCCAGGTGCCATCTGTTGCCCCTTTATTTGATTAGGTAAGGGAACTCCCTGACCACTTGCACTTCCCAAGTGAGGAAATGACTCACTCTGCTTCTGCCCACTCATGGTGCACTGCACCCACTATCCTGCGCCCACTGTCTGGCAATTCCTAGTGAGATGAACCAGGTATCTCAGATGGAAATGAAGAAATTGCCCATCTTCTGTGTCACTCACACTGGGAGCTGTAGAACAGAGGTGCTCCTATTTGGCCATCTTGACTGCCACCTCATTTGCCAGTTGGCTTCTGTGTAGTTTTTATGTGAAAATATTTCCCTTTCCACCATTGGCCACAAAGGGCTCCAAATATCCACTTGCAGATTCTACAAAAAGAGAGTTTCAAAACTGCTCAACCAAAAGAAAGTTTCAACTCTGTGAGTTGTATGCACGCATCACAGAGAAGTTTCTCTGAATGCTTCCGCATAGTTTTTACGTGAAGATATACCCATTTCCACCATAGGCCACAAAGAGCTCCAAATATCCACTTGCAGATTCTACAAAATGAGTGTTTCAAAACTGCTCAATCAAAAGAAAGGTTCAACTCTGTGAGATGAATGCACACATTGCAAAGTAGTTTCTCAGAATTGTTCTGCGTAGTTTTTATGGGAAGATATCTCCTTTTACACAATAGGTTTAAAAGTACTCCAAATATCCATTTGCTGATCCTTTAAAAAGACTGTTTCATAACTGCTTAATCAAAAGAAAGGTTCAGCTCTGGGAGATGAATGCATACATCACAAAGAAGTTTCTCAGAATGTTTCTCTGTAGTTTTTATGTGAAGATATCTCCTTTTCCACCATAGGTAGCAAATAGTTCCAAATATCCACTTGCGGATTCTACAAAAAGAGAGTTTCAAAATTGCTGAATCAAAAGATAGGTTCAAACCTGTGAGTTCAATGCACACATCACAAAGAAGTTTCTCAGAATGCTTCTGTGTAGTTCTCATGTGAAGATATTTCCTTTTCCACCATAGGCCTCAAAGCAATCCAAACATCCACTTGTAGATACTACAAAAAGAGTGTTTCCAAACTGCTCAATCAAAACAAAGGTTCAACTCTGTGAGATGAAGGCACACATGACAAATAATTTCCTCAGAAATCTTTTTTGTAGTTTTTATGTGAAGGTATGTCCTTTTCCATCGTAGGCCACAAAGGGCTCCAAATATCCTCTTGCAGATTCTACAAAAAGAGAGATTCAAAACTGCTCAATCAAAAGATAGTTTCAACTCTGTTAGTTTAATGCAGCACACTTAACAAAGATGTTTCTCAGAATGCTTCTGTGTAGTTTTTATGTGAAGATATTTCCATTTCCACCACAGGCTTCAAAGAGCTCCAAATATCCACTTGCAGACTCTACAAACAGAAAGTTTCAAAACTGCTGAATGAAAAGAAAGGTTCAACACTGTGAGATGAATGCACACATTGCACAGAACTTTCTCATAATGATTCTGTGCAGCTTTTATGTGAAGATATTTCCTTTTCCACAGTAGGAATCTAAGCGCTCCAAATATCAACTTGCAGATTCTACAAAAAGAGTTTTTCAAAACTGCTCAATCAAAAGAAAGGTTCAACTCTGTGAGATGAATGCACACTTCACAAAGAGGTTTCTCAGAATGCTTCTGTGTAGATTTCATGTGAAGATATTTTCTTTTCAACTATAGGCCTCAAAGAGCTCCAATTATCCACTTGCAGATTCTACAAACAGAGTGTTTCAAAACTGCTAAATGAAAAGAAAGATTCATCTCTGTGAGATGAATGCATACATCACCACGAAGTTTCTCAGAATGCTTCTGTGTAGTTCTTATGTGAAGATATTTCCTTTTACACAATAGGCCTCAAAGTGCTCCAAATATTCATTGCAGATACTTCAAAAAGATTGTTTCCATACTGCTCAATCAAAAGAAAGGTTCATCTCTGTGAGATGAATGCACACATCATAAAGAAGTTTCTCAGAATACTTCTGTCTGTTTTTTATGTGAAGGCACTTCCTTTTCCACGATAGGCCACAAAAGGCTAGAAATATCCACTTGCAGATAATAGACAAAGACAGTTTCAAAATGGCTCCATCAAAAGATAGGTTCAAATCTGTGAGTTGAATGCACATATCACAAAGGAGTTTCTCAGAATACTTCTGTGGGGTTTTCATGTGAAGGCATTTCTTTCTCCACCATAGGCCTCAAAGGGCTCCAAATACACAACTGCAGATACTACAAAAAGAGAGTTTCAAAACTGCTCATCAAAAGATAGATTCACATCAGTGAGTTGAATGCACACATCACAAAGAATTTCTCAGAATGCTTCTGTATACTTTTTATGTGAAAATATTTCATTTTCCAAAATAGGCCTCAAAGCCTTCCAAATAGCCACTTGCAGATTCTACAAAGAGAGTGTTTCAAAACTGCTCAAACAAAAGAGAAGTTCAACTGTGTGAGATAAATGCACACATCAAAAAGAAGTTTCTCAGAATTCTTCTCTGTAGTTTTTATGTAAAATATTTGCTGTTCAACTGTTGGCCTCAAAGTGCTCCAAATATCCACTTGCATATTCTACAAATGGAGTGTTTCAAAACTACTCAATCAAAAGAAAGGTTCAACTCTGAGTTGAATGCACACATCACAAAAAAGCTTCTCAGAATGCTTCTGTGTAGTCTTTATGTGAAGATATTTCCTATTCCACTGTAGGCCCCAAAGCGCTCCAAATATCTTCTTGCAGATTCTACAAAAAGAGTGTTACAAAACTGCTCAATCAAAAGAAAGTTCAACTGCGTGAGATGAATGCACATACCACAAAGAAGTTTCTCAGAATGCTTCTGTGTAGTTTTTATGTGAAGAGATTTGCTTTTCCAGAGTAGGAAAAGCGCTCCTAATATCCACTTGCAGATTCTGCAAAAACTGTTTCATAACTGCTCAATCAAAAGAAAGTTTCAACACTGTGAGATGAAAGCACACAACACAAAAACGCCTCTCAGAATGCTTCTGTGTAGTTTTTATGTGAAGATATTTCCTTTTAGACAATAAGCCTCACAGCGCTCCAAATAACCACTTGCAGATTCTACAAAAAGAGGGTTTCAAAACTGCTCAATCCAAAGAGAGGTTCAACTCTGTGAGATGAATGCACACATAACAAAGAAGTTTCTCAGACTCCTTCTGTGTAGTTTTTTTTTTCAAGATATTTCCTTTTCCACCATAGGCTGCAAAGGACTCCAAATATCCAGTTGCAGATTCTACAAAAAGAGAGATTCAAAACTGCTCAATCAAAAAATAGGTTCAACTCTGTGAGTTGAATGCACACATCACAAAGAAGTTTTTCGAAATGCTTCTATAGAGTTTTTATTTGAAGGTATTTCCTTTTCCACCCTAGGTTGCAAAGGGCTCCAAATATACACTTGCAGATTCGACAAAAAGAGAGATTCAAAACTGCTCAATGATAAGTCCAACTCTGTGGGTTGCATCCATGCCTCACAAAGAAGTTTCTCAGAATGCTTCTCTGTAGTTTTTATGTGAAGATACTTCCTTTTTCACAATAGGCCTCAAGCTTTCCAAATATCCACTTCCAGATTCTGCAAAAAGAGAGATACAAAACTGCTCTATCAAAAGATAGGTTCGACTCTGTGAGTTCAATGCAAACATCACAAAGAAGTTTCTCAGAATGCTTCTGTGTAGTTTTTATGTGAAGATGTTTTGTTTTCTACCACAGGGCGAAAGGGGCTCCAAATATCTACTTGTATTTTTTAAAAAAGGGAGATTCTAAGCCGCTCAATCAAAAGTTAGGTACAACACTGTTAGTTGAATGTACACATCACAAAGAAGTTTCTCAGAATGCTCCTGTGTAGTTTTTATTTGAAGATATATCCTTTTTCACAACAGGGTGCAAAGAGCTCCAAATATCCAATTGCAGATTCTACAAAAAAAGAGATATGAAAGTGCTCAATGAAAAGATAAGTTCAACTCTGTGAGTTGAATGCACAATCACAAAGAAGTTTCTCAGAATGCCTCTGTATAGTTTTTATTTGAAGGTATTTCCTTTTCCACCATAGGTAGCAAAGGGCTCCAAATATCCTCTTGCAGATTCTGCAAAATGAGAGATTCAAAACTGCTCAATCAAAAGATAGTTTCATCTCTGTGAGTTGAATGCTCACATAACAAAGAAGTTTCTCACAGTATTTCTGCGTAGTTTTTAAGTGAAGATATTTTCTTTTCCAAAATAGACTTCAAAGCCCTCCAAATATCAACTTCCAGGCCCTACAAAAGCAGTGTTTCAAAACTGCTCAATCAAAAGAAAGTGTCATCTCTGTGAGATGAATGTACACATCACAAAGAAGTTTCTCAGAATGCTTCTGTATAGTTTTTATCTGAAGTTATTTGCTTTTCCACGATAGGCCTCAAAGCACGCCAAATATCCACTTGCAGATCCTATGAAAAGAGTGTTCCAAAACTGGTCAATCATAAGATAGGTTTAACTCTGTGAGTTGAATGCACAATCACGAGGAAGTTTCTCAGAATGCCTCTGTGTGCTTTTCATTTGAAGGTATTTCCTTTTCCACCATAGGCCGCAAAGGGCTCCAAATATCCCCTTGCAGATTCTGCAAAATGAGAGATTCAAAACTGCTCAATCAAAAGATAGGTTCAACTCTGTGAGTTGAATGCTCACATAACAAAGAAGTTTCTCACAGTATTTCTGCGTAGTTGTTTAAGTGAAGATATTTTCTTTTCCAAAATAGGGACTCAGAATGCTTCTGTGTAGTTTTTATTTGAAGATAGTTCCTTTTCCACCATAGGCCGCAAAGGGCTCCAAATATCCACTTGCAGATGTTACAAAAAGAGAGATTCAAAACTGCTCAACCAAAAGGTAGTTTCAACCATGTGATATGAATGCACACAGCACAGAGAAATTTCTCAAAATGCTTCTGTCTAGTTTTTATTTGAAGATATTGCCTTTTCTACCATAGGCCACAAACGTCTCCAAATATCCACATGCAGCTTCTACAAAAAGAGAGATTCAAAGCTTCTCAATCAAAAGATAGGTTCAACTCTGTGAGTTGAATGCACACTTCACAAAGAAGTTTCTCAGAGTGCTTCTGTGTGTTTTTATGTGAAGATGATTCCTTTTCCACAATAGGCCTCAAAGCTCTCCAAGTATCTGCAAGCAGAGTCTACAAAAAGAGAGATTCAAAACTGCTCAATGAAAAGATAGGTTCAACTCTGTGAGTTGAATGCACACCTCCAAAGAAGTTTCTCAGAATGCTTCCGTGTAGTTTCTATGTGAAGATATTTACTTTTCCACAATTGTCCCAAAGCTCTAAAATATCCACTTGCAGACCCTCTGAAAGAGTGTTTCAGAATTGCTCAATCAAAGGAGAGGTTCAATTCTGTGTGACCAATGCACTCATCACAAAAAGTTTGTCTGAATGCTTCTGTGTAGAATGGATTTGAAGATAATTCCTTTTCCACCACAGTCCGCAAATGGCTAAAAATATCCACTTGCAGATTCCACAAAAAGAGAGATTCAAAACTGCTCAATCACAAGGTAGGTTCAACTTGGTAATTTGAAAGCACACATGACAAACAATTTCTGAGAATGTTTCTGTGTAGCTTTTAAGGGAAGATATTTGATTTTCAAATGTAGGCCTCAAAACGCTCCAAATATCCACTTGCAGATTGTACAAAAAGAGAGATCAAAACTGGTCACTCAAAAGATAGTTCCAGCTCTGTGAGTTGAATGCAAACCTCACAAAGATGTTTCTCAGAAAGCTTCTGTATAGTTTTTATATGAAGATACTTGCTTTTCCACAATATACCTCAAATCTCCCCAATTATCCACTTGCAGATTCTACAAAAAGAGTGTTTCAAAACTGCTCAATCAAAATACACTTTCAACTCTGTGAGATCAATGCACACATCACAAAGAAGTTTCTCAGAATGCTTCTGTATAGTTTTTATCTGAAGTTATTTGCTTTTCCACGATAGGCCTCAAAGCACGCCAAATATCCACTTGCAGATCCTATGAAAAGAGTGTTCCAAAACTGGTCAATCATAAGATAGGTTTAACTCTGTGAGTTGAATGCACAATCACGAGGAAGTTTCTCAGAATGCCTCTGTGTGCTTTTCATTTGAAGGTATTTCCTTTTCCACCATAGGCCGCAAAGGGCTCCAAATATCCCCTTGCAGATTCTGCAAAATGAGAGATTCAAAACTGCTCATCAAAAGATAGGTTCAACTCTGTGAGTTGAATGCTCACATACCAAAGAAGTTTCTCACAGTATTTCTGCGTAGTTGTTTAAGTGAAGATATTTTCTTTCCCAAAATAGGGACTCAGAATGCTTCTGTGTAGTTTTTATTTGAAGATATTTCCTTTTCCACCATAGGCCGCAAAGGGCTCCAAATATCCACTTGCAGATTGTATAAAAAGAGAGATTCAAAACTGGTCACTCGAAGGATCGGTTCAGCTCTGTGAGGTGAATGCACACATCAAAAAGAAGTTTCTTAGAGTGCCTCTATGTAGATTTTATGTGAAGATATTTGCTTTTCCACTTTAGGTCTCAAAGCGCTCCAAATATCCACGTGCAGATTCTAAAAAAAGAGAGATTCTAAGCTACTCCATCAAAAGATAGGTTCAGCTCTGTGAGTTGAATTCACACATCACAAAGAAGTTTCTAGGAGTGCTTCTGTGTAGTTGTTATGTGAAGATATTTGCTTTTCCACAGTAGGCCTCAAATCGCTCTACATATCCACTTGCAGTTTCTACAAAAAGAGTGTTTCCAAACTGCTCCATCATAAGACACGTTGAACTCTGAGAGTTGAATGCACACATCACAAAGAAGCTTCTCAGAATGCTTCTGTGTGGTTTTAATTTGAAGATATTTCCTTTTCCAAAACAGGCCTCAAAGCTCTCCAAATATCCACCTGGTTATTCTGCAAAAAGAGGGTTTCAATACTACTCAATAAAAAGGAAGATTCAACTCTGTGTGAGGAACGCATTCATCACAAAGAAGTCTTTCTGAATGCTTCTGTGTAGCTTTTATATGAAGATATTTCCTTTTACACCACAGGGTGCAAACAGCTCCAAACTTCCACTTGCAGATTCTACAAAAAGACGTATTCAAAACTGTACAATCAAAAGATAGTGTCAACTCTGCATGTTCAATGCACACATCACAAAGGACTTTCTCTGAATGCTTCTCTGTAGGGTTTGTTTATGTGAAGATATTTGCTTTTCCACTATAGGGTGAAACAGGGCTCCAAGTATCAACTTGCAGATTCTGCAAAAAGGAGATTCAAAACAGCTAAATCCAAAGATTACTTCAACTATGTGAGTTGAATGCACACACAAAAAAGAAGTTTCTCAGAATGCCTCTGTGTAGTTTTTATGTGAAGATATTTGATTTTCCACATTAGGCCTCAAAGCGCTCTAAATATCCACTTGCAGATTCTAGAAAAAGAGTGTTTCAAAACTGCCCTATCAAAAGAAACGTCCAACACTGTGAGATGAATGCACACATCACAAAGAAGTTTCTCAGAATGCTTCTTTGTAATTTTTATGTGAAGATATTCCCTTTTCCAAAGAAGGCCACAAAGTACTCCCAATATCCACTTGCAGGTTCTACAAAATGAGTGTTTCAAAACCGCTCAATCATTAGATAGGTTCAACTCTGTGAGACGAATGCACACGTCACAAAGAAGTTTTACGGAATGCTTCTATATAGTTTTTATTTGAAGGTATTTCCTTTTCCACCCTAGGTTGCAAAGGGCTCCAAATATCCACTTGCAGATTCGACAAAAAGAGAGATTCAAAACTGCTCAATGATAAGTCCAACTCTGTGGGTTGAATCCATGCCTCACAAAGAAGTTTCTCAGAATGCTTCTCTGTAGTTTTTATGTGAAGATATTTCCTTTTTCACAATAGGCCTCAAGCTTTCCAAATATCCACTTGCAGATTCCGCAAAAAGAGAGATACAAAAGTGCTCTATCAAAAGATAGGTTCGACTCTGGGAGTTCAATGCAAACATCACAAAGAAGTTTCTCAGAATGCTTCTGTGTAGATTTTATGTGAAGATGTTTTGTTTTCTACCATAGGGCAAAATGGGGCTCCAAATATCTACTTGCATTTTCTACAAAAAGAGAGATTCTAAGCTGCTCAATCAAAAGATACGTTCAACACTGTTAGTTGAATGCACACATGCCAAAGAAGTTTCTCAGAATGCTTCTGTGTAGTTTTTATGTGAAGATATTTGCTTTTCCACAATAGGCCTCAAATCGTTCTAAATATCCACTTGCAGGCTCTACAAAAAGAGTGTTTCCAAATTGCTCAATCATAAGGTAGGTTCAACTCTGAGAGTTGAATGCACACATCATAAAGAAGTTTCTCAGAATGGTTCTGTGTAGTTTTACTTTGAAGATATTTCATTTTCCAAAACAGGCCCCAAAGCTCTCCAAATATCCACTTGGTGATTCTGCAAAAAGAGCGTTTCAATACTGCTCAATAAAAAGAAAGGTTCAGCTCTGTGTGAGGAATGCATTCATCACAAGAAGTTTCTCTGAATGCTTCTTTGTAGTTTTTATATGAAGATAGTTCCCTTTCCACCACAGGGTGCAAAGAGCTCCAAATATCCACTTGCAGATTCTACAGAAAATGAGATATGAAAGTGCTCAAGGAAAAGATAAGTTCAACTCTGTGAGTTGCATGCACACCTCACAAAGAAGAATCTCAAAATGCTTCTGCATAGTTTATATGTGAAGATATTTCCTTTTCCAAATAGGCCTCCAAGTTCTCCAGATATCCACTCGCAGATTCTGCAAAAAGAGAGACTCAAAACTGCTGAATCAAAACATAGTTTCAACTCTGTGACTTCATTGCACACCTCACAAAGATGTTTCTCAGAATGCTTCTGTGCAGTTTTCATATAAAGATATCTCCTTCTCCAAAATAGATCTCAAGGTTCTCCAAATATTCACTTCCAGATTCTATGGAAAGATTGTCTCAAAACTGCTCAATCAAACCAAAGGTTCAACCCTGTGAGATGAATGCACACATCACAAGGAAGTTTCTCGGAATACTTCTGTGTAGTTTTTATTTGAGGATAGTTCCTTTTCCACCACAGACCACAAAGGGCTCCAAATATCCATTGCAGATGTTACAAAAAGAGAGATTCAAAACTGCTCAACCAAAAGGTAGTTTCAACCATGTGATATGAATGCACACAGCACAGAGAAATTTCTCAAAATGCTTCTGTCTAGTTTTTATTTGAAGATATTGCCTTTTCTACCATAGGCCACAAACGTCTCCAAATATCCACATGCAGCTTCTACAAAAAGAGAGATTCAAAGCTTCTCAATCAAAAGATAGGTTCAACTCTGTGAGTTGAATGCACACTTCACAAAGAAGTTTCTCAGAGTGCTTCTGTGTGTTTTTATGTGAAGATGATTCCTTTTCCACAATAGGCCTCAAAGCTCTCCAAGTATCTGCAAGCAGAGTCTACAAAAAGAGAGATTCAAAACTGCTCAATGAAAAGATAGGTTCAACTCTGTGAGTTGAATGCACACCTCCAAAGAAGTTTCTCAGAATGCTTCCGTGTAGTTTCTATGTGAAGATATTTACTTTTCCACAATTGTCCCAAAGCTCTAAAATATCCACTTGCAGACCCTCTGAAAGAGTGTTTCAGAATTGCTCAATCAAAGGAGAGGTTCAATTCTGTGTGACCAATGCACTCATCACAAAAAGTTTGTCTGAATGCTTCTGTGTAGAATGGATTTGAAGATAATTCCTTTTCCACCACAGTCCGCAAATGGCTAAAAATATCCACTTGCAGATTCCACAAAAAGAGAGATTCAAAACTGCTCAATCACAAGGTAGGTTCAACTTGGTAATTTGAAAGCACACATGACAAACAATTTCTGAGAATGTTTCTGTGTAGCTTTTAAGGGAAGATATTTGATTTTCAAATGTAGGCCTCAAAACGCTCCAAATATCCACTTGCAGATTGTACAAAAAGAGAGATTCAAAACTGGTCACTCAAAAGATAGTTCCAGCTCTGTGAGTTGAATGCAAACCTCACAAAGATGTTTCTCAGAAAGCTTCTGTATAGTTTTTATATGAAGATACTTGCTTTTCCACAATATACCTCAAATCTCCCCAATTATCCACTTGCAGATTCTACAAAAAGAGTGTTTCAAAACCGCTCAATCATTAGATAGGTTCAACTCTGTGAGACGAATGCACACGTCACAAAGAAGTTTTACGGAATGCTTCTATATAGTTTTTATTTGAAGGTATTTCCTTTTCCACCCTAGGTTGCAAAGGGCTCCAAATATCCACTTGCAGATTCGACAAAAAGAGAGATTCAAAACTGCTCAATGATAAGTCCAACTCTGTGGGTTGAATCCATGCCTCACAAAGAAGTTTCTCAGAATGCTTCTCTGTAGTTTTTATGTGAAGATATTTCCTTTTTCACAATAGGCCTCAAGCTTTCCAAATATCCACTTGCAGATTCCGCAAAAAGAGAGATACAAAAGTGCTCTATCAAAAGATAGGTTCGACTCTGGGAGTTCAATGCAAACATCACAAAGAAGTTTCTCAGAATGCTTCTGTGTAGATTTTATGTGAAGATGTTTTGTTTTCTACCATAGGGCAAAATGGGGCTCCAAATATCTACTTGCATTTTCTACAAAAAGAGAGATTCTAAGCTGCTCAATCAAAAGATACGTTCAACACTGTTAGTTGAATGCACACATGCCAAAGAAGTTTCTCAGAATGCTTCTGTGTAGTTTTTATGTGAAGATATTTGCTTTTCCACAATAGGCCTCAAATCGTTCTAAATATCCACTTGCAGGCTC
The DNA here is from genome assembly GCF_000001405.40 of Homo sapiens. Taxonomy (NCBI): domain Eukaryota; kingdom Metazoa; phylum Chordata; class Mammalia; order Primates; family Hominidae; genus Homo; species Homo sapiens. The sequence goes on along the minus strand of NC_000015.10, from coordinate 17,003,011 downwards.
TACAAAAAGAGTGTTTCCAAATTGCTCAATCATAAGGTAGGTTCAACTCTGAGAGTTGAATGCACACATCATAAAGAAGTTTCTCAGAATGGTTCTGTGTAGTTTTACTTTGAAGATATTTCATTTTCCAAAACAGGCCCCAAAGCTCTCCAAATATCCACTTGGTGATTCTGCAAAAAGAGCGTTTCAATACTGCTCCATAAAAAGAAAGGTTCAGCTCTGTGTGAGGAATGCATTCATCACAAGAAGTTTCTCTGAATGCTTCTTTGTAGTTTTTATATGAAGATAGTTCCCTTTCCACCACAGGGTGCAAAGAGCTCCAAATATCCACTTGCAGATTCTACAGAAAATGAGATATGAAAGTGCTCAAGGAAAAGATAAGTTCAACTCTGTGAGTTGCATGCACACCTCACAAAGAAGAATCTCAAAATGCTTCTGCATAGTTTATATGTGAAGATATTTCCTTTTCCAAATAGGCCTCCAAGTTCTCCAGATATCCACTCGCAGATTCTGCAAAAAGAGAGACTCAAAACTGCTGAATCAAAACATAGTTTCAACTCTGTGACTTCATTGTACACCTCACAAAGATGTTTCTCAGAATGCTTCTGTGCAGTTTTCATATAAAGATATCTCCTTCTCCAAAATAGATCTCAAGGTTCTCCAAATATTCACTTCCAGATTCTATGGAAAGATTGTCTCAAAACTGCTCAATCAAACCAAAGGTTCAACCCTGTGAGATGAATGCACACATCACAAGGAAGTTTCTCGGAATACTTCTGTGTAGTTTTTATTTGAGGATAGTTCCTTTTCCACCACAGACCACAAAGGGCTCCAAATATCCATTGCAGATGTTACAAAAAGAGAGATTCAAAACTGCTCAACCAAAAGGTAGTTTCAACCATGTGATATGAATGCACACAGCACAGAGAAATTTCTCAAAATGCTTCTGTCTAGTTTTTATTTGAAGATATTGCCTTTTCTACCATAGGCCACAAACGTCTCCAAATATCCACATGCAGCTTCTACAAAAAGAGAGATTCAAAGCTTCTCAATCAAAAGATAGGTTCAACTCTGTGAGTTGAATGCACACTTCACAAAGAAGTTTCTCAGAGTGCTTCTGTGTGTTTTTATGTGAAGATGATTCCTTTTCCACAATAGGCCTCAAAGCTCTCCAAGTATCTGCAAGCAGAGTCTACAAAAAGAGAGATTCAAAACTGCTCAATGAAAAGATAGGTTCAACTCTGTGAGTTGAATGCACACCTCCAAAGAAGTTTCTCAGAATGCTTCCGTGTAGTTTCTATGTGAAGATATTTACTTTTCCACAATTGTCCCAAAGCTCTAAAATATCCACTTGCAGACCCTCTGAAAGAGTGTTTCAGAATTGCTCAATCAAAGGAGAGGTTCAATTCTGTGTGACCAATGCACTCATCACAAAAAGTTTGTCTGAATGCTTCTGTGTAGAATGGATTTGAAGATAATTCCTTTTCCACCACAGTCCGCAAATGGCTAAAAATATCCACTTGCAGATTCCACAAAAAGAGAGATTCAAAACTGCTCAATCACAAGGTAGGTTCAACTTGGTAATTTGAAAGCACACATGACAAACAATTTCTGAGAATGTTTCTGTGTAGCTTTTAAGGGAAGATATTTGATTTTCAAATGTAGGCCTCAAAACGCTCCAAATATCCACTTGCAGATTGTACAAAAAGAGAGATTCAAAACTGGTCACTCAAAAGATAGTTCCAGCTCTGTGAGTTGAATGCAAACCTCACAAAGATGTTTCTCAGAAAGCTTCTGTATAGTTTTTATATGAAGATACTTGCTTTTCCACAATATACCTCAAATCTCCCCAATTATCCACTTGCAGATTCTACAAAAAGAGTGTTTCAAAACTGCTCAATCAAAATACACTTTCAACTCTGTGAGATCAATGCACACATCACAAAGAAGTTTCTCAGAATGCTTCTGTATAGTTTTTATCTGAAGTTATTTGCTTTTCCACGATAGGCCTCAAAGCACGCCAAATATCCACTTGCAGATCCTATGAAAAGAGTGTTCCAAAACTGGTCAATCATAAGATAGGTTTAACTCTGTGAGTTGAATGCACAATCACGAGGAAGTTTCTCAGAATGCCTCTGTGTGCTTTTCATTTGAAGGTATTTCCTTTTCCACCATAGGCCGCAAAGGGCTCCAAATATCCCCTTGCAGATTCTGCAAAATGAGAGATTCAAAACTGCTCAATCAAAAGATAGGTTCAAGTCTGTGAGTTGAATGCTCACATAACAAAGAAGTTTCTCACAGTATTTCTGCGTAGTTGTTTAAGTGAAGATATTTTCTTTTCCAAAATAGGGACTCAGAATGCTTCTGTGTAGTTTTTATTTGAAGATATTTCCTTTTCCACCATAGGCCGCAAAGGGCTCCAAATATCCACTTGCAGATTGTATAAAAAGAGAGATTCAAAACTGGTCACTCGAAGGATCGGTTCAGCTCTGTGAGGTGAATGCACACATCAAAAAGAAGTTTCTTAGAGTGCCTCTATGTAGATTTTATGTGAAGATATTTGCTTTTCCACTTTAGGTCTCAAAGCGCTCCAAATATCCACGTGCAGATTCTAAAAAAAGAGAGATTCTAAGCTACTCCATCAAAAGATAGGTTCAGCTCTGTGAGTTGAATTCACACATCACAAAGAAGTTTCTAGGAGTGCTTCTGTGTAGTTGTTATGTGAAGATATTTGCTTTTCCACAGTAGGCCTCAAATCGCTCTACATATCCACTTGCAGTTTCTACAAAAAAGAGTGTTTCCAAACTGCTCCATCATAAGACACGTTGAACTCTGAGAGTTGAATGCACACATCACAAAGAAGCTTCTCAGAATGGTTCTGTGTAGTTTTACTTTGAAGATATTTCATTTTCCAAAACAGGCCCCAAAGCTCTCCAAATATCCACTTGGTGATTCTGCAAAAAGAGCGTTTCAATACTGCTCCATAAAAAGAAAGGTCAGCTCTGTGTGAG